>NC_000002.12:24024906-24176422 GCF_000001405.40 Homo sapiens
TGTCTGACCTTCCGGGGAGGCTATGGGAACCTTGAAGGCTGAGGCTGGCTGTTTTATTCCTTTTTGTATCCCAAGAGCCCAGCACAGAGCCTGAGGCCAAGCAGGTACTCAGGAATCACTGCTGCAGCATCACCACGTCTGGTCCAGCAGACGTGCACAAGCACCCAATGTTCACACAAGTAAGGTCCACGAGCATGCACATATCATGCAGGCCCACGCGGGACAGGCAGTGGGTGGCCTTGTCATCAGCCACTCCCTGCTGAGGGTGACGGCCTCGGGCTCTGCAGCAGAGAGATACTGAGGGCATGCTTCCCAGTCAGGGAAGGCCAGGCGGATGGGGAACTGCTTGATGACACTTGGAGAAACAGGGTTGTAGCTCATCTACAGGACTTGGGAGGGGAGGAGTTGAAGAGGAGTTGCTGGGAAGACAAGGAGCAGCCACCAAACCTTCCGCGGGCTTCTGCGGCAGGACAGAGGGCCCACACCACTTCCATCCTTCTCCTTGGCTTCCTTCCCTTCCCACAGGAGGACCAGCTACAGCCTGGCCTAAAGCTTAGGAGGGCGACTGTGAATGGACACAGGAGCCAGCACCCTCGGGGCCTGACATCGCCCTCCTCAGCCCTCCAGCACCTGGTCTGGCAGTTTAGTATGTGACCTTTCTCCCTGGGATGTGGAGTCTTCGGCAACGTGTCCTGAAGGGACTGGCCCGCACTCCAGGACCCCACTTGGCATTTCTTGTCTGTTGCCTTCAGACTATCTCAGATAGGCCTGTGCCCCTGACTAGCCCAGTAGCACTTGTCTCTAGAAAAAGGAAGCTCCTGCCCAACCTGGCTTGTGGACCAGTAATATCTGTGGCCTACCACCCATTCAAGAAAACGTTACAGCCGGCTCACTGCAAAATCCGCCTCCCGGGTTCACGCCATTCTCCTGCCTCAGCCTCCCGAGTAGCTGGGACTACAGGTGCCCGCCACCACGCCCAGCTAATTTTTGTATTTTTAGTAGAGACGGGGTTTCACCGTGTTAGCCAGAATGGTTTCGATCTCCTGACCTCGTGATCCGCCCCGCCTCAGCCTCCCAAAGGCATGAGCCACCGTACTCGGCCTGCCCAGGCTGGTCTTAAACTCCTGGCCTCAGGTGATCCTACTGCCTCAGCCTCCTGAGTAGCTGGGATTACAGACACAGCCCCCGTTCCCAGCTCTAGCATTTCTTAAGGACAAAATTGGTGTGTAAGTAACAGGAAATTCACATTATGCTGTACTCATTCTCTAATATCACAGCCATGTTAGAACAAATTTGGGTTTTCAAAACAAGCGTAACTGAACAGAGTATATATATGTATGTATATAAATATATAGAAATCCTAAATGGTCCCTGTGACATAAGAAATACACATTTGGTCTCTGCCCCAGGTTCCTGGCACAGAGCTTCTAAAATGCTAGTAACTTCCTGAGTGGTAGGGGTGAGGGGAACATCTTTTGTTATACATAAGAAGCCCTTTTCAAACAGATCTGAGTTTATGCTAATGATGTGACTGGCAGAGGATGGGGGCTGGTTGCCAGAGAAACCAACCATGTGATTAGAAGGTTGAAACTTTCAGCCTTATCTTCCTACCGGGAGGGGACAGGGGCTGAAGACTGAGCTCATCATCAATGATTTAATCAATTGTGCCCATGTAATGGAGCCTCCACTTCCAAACGAAGGGTTTCAGAGAGCTTCTAGGTTGGTGAACACATCCATGTACCAGGAGGTCTACCCCACTCCACGGGGACAGAAACTCTTGTGTAGGGGACCCTTTTAGATTTCATTCTATATACCTCTTCAGCTGGCTGTTCATTTTATAATCAACCAATAAATGTTAAGTAAAGTGTTTCTCTGTGTTCTATGCATTATAGGAAATTATCGAATCTGAGGAGGGTTTTGTGGGAATCCCCTATTTGCAGCCAAGCTGGAGAGAAGTGTGTATCGCCTGGAGACCCACTACTTGCAACTGGTATTGGAAGTGGGGATCAGCCTGTTGGACTGAGCCCGTAACCTATTGGGTCTGCACTAACTCTGGGTAGTATCAGAACTGAATGAAATTGTAGGGTACCCAGTTATGTCCATAGAGAACTGAAGAATCGCTTGGTGTAGAAAAACCCACACATCTGATGTCAGAAGTGTTCTGTGGTTACAGAAAAAAATAGTTTCTCCTTTTAGTCTCATAAATATTAAAGGATTAAATAAATATTTAAAAATATTCCCACAAAGGGCCAGGGGCGGTGGCTCACGCCTGTAATCCCAGCACTTTGGGAGGCCGAGGCGGGCGGATCACGAGGTCAGGAGATCGAGACCATCTTGGCTAACATGGTGAAGCCCCATCTCTACTAAAAATACAAAAAATTAGCCGGGCGTTGTGGCAGGCGCCTGTAGTCCCAGCTACTCGGGAGGCTGAGGGAGGAGAATGGCATGAACCTGGGAGGCAGAGCTTGCAGTGAGCTGAGATCGCGCCGCTGTACTCCAGCCTGGGTGACAGGGCGAGACTCCATCTCAAAAAAAAAAAATAAAATAATAATAATAATAATAATAATATTCCCACAAAGAAAACATGAGACCAAATGATATTTCCAAGTTCTAGCAAACTTTCAATCAAGGATCATTCCTACCTCACACAAACTCCTCCACAGAGCAGAAAAAGAAGGCACACTCTGCTACTCATTCTATCAGGCCAGAGTAAGCTTCTTACCAAAACCAGCCAAGCACATTAAAAAGGAAAGAGGCCAGGTGTGATGGCTCAAGCCTGTAATCCTGGGACACTGGGAGGCCAAGGTGGGAGGGTCACTTGAGCCCAGGATTTCAAGAAAAGTCTGGGCAACAAAGGGAGACCCTATCTCTACAAAAAATTTTAAAAAAATTAGCTGGGTGTGGTGGCACACACCTGTAGTCCCAGCTACTTGCGGGGCTAAGGTAGGAGGACTGCTTGAGGCCAGGAGGTTGAGGCTGCAGTGAGCTGTGATAGTGCCACTCACTCTAGCCTGGGCAACAGAGCAAGCCCCTGTCTCAAAAATAAAAAAAGAATTTACGGGCTAATCTTACCCATTAACAGGGAAAGGAAGAATCTTAAACAAAATAATAGCAAAATGAGTAGCAACGTATAAAAAATAAATACACCATGAACATACTGGGTTTATTCCAAGAATGCAAAGTTTAGCATTAAAAAACCTATCGGCTGGGTGTGGTGGCTCACGCCTGCAATTCCAGCACCTTGGGAGGCCGAGGCGGGAACACGAGGTCAGGAGTTCAAGACCAGCATGGCCAAGATGGTGAAACCCCATCTCTACTAAAACTACAAAAATTAGCCAGGCACAGTGGCAGGCGCCTGTAATCCCAGCTACTCAGGAGGCTGAGGCAGGAGAATCGCCTGAACCCAGGCGGCAGAGGTTGCAGTGAGCCAAGATCACACCACTGCACTCCAGCCTGGGCGACAGAGAGAGACTCTGTCTCAAAAAAAGAACACAAAAAACCTGGCAAATGAAATTTACCACACAGAGCAATGCAGAGCATGAAGTCAGGAACTCTGCAGAGGGACCCCTCAATTATCCAGCAGAGGCTGGGCTCAGTGGCTCATGCCTGTAATCCCAGCACTTGGGAGGCTGAGGTAGGCAGATCACTTGAGATCAGGAGTTTGAGACCAGCCTGGCCAATATGGTGAAACCCCATCTCTACTAAAAATACAAAAATTAGATGGGTGTGGTGGCGGGCACCTGTAATCCGAGCTACCCAGGAGGCTGAGACAGGAGAATGGTTTGAACCCGGGAGTTGGAGGTTGCAGTGAGCCAAGATTGTGCCAATGCACTCCAGCCTGGGCGACAGAGTAAGACTCCGTCTCAAAAAACAACAACAACAACAACAAAAACCCCCCAAACAAATAAAATTATCCAGCAGAATACTGATTAAAGACATAAATATGAAGACAAAACTTCCATAAAAAGGAAGATAGGTAAATGTGTGGCTTCCTTAAAATTAAAATGTTTGTCCAACACACAAGGTATAAAGAAAGAGGAGGCCGGCAGGAGTTCGAGACTATCCTGGCCAACATGGTGAAACCCCGTCTCTACTAAAAATACAAGCATTAGCCAGGCGAGGTGGTGCATGACTGTAGAACATTAAACAATCCTTTGAAGAATTTAGCTCTTTTCTCCCTGCCTCCAAAGCCAGCAAATATGAGATTATTTTCTATTGTTCCAGTGACTGTAATAATAGCAGAGGTCAAGGAAACATCTCTTGTATGAGAGTTGTCATGGAATCAGATTTGTTGTAAAGAACCATTTATATTCTGGACTGTCCACCAGAAGAAGGAATACAGACAACATATGCATATATAACTGCAAGATTATTGCCGGTTCCTCTATAGCAGCAATAATCGCAAAGAAAATACTACCAAAACATCCAAAACAGCCACAATAACCATTAGTGATTTTATTGAAGACTTATTCACAGTATTTTGACCTGAGAAATGGTGATTTTAACATACCCTTTTAGGTGCCCACATTGATCTTAGTTAACAGTCTTGTAGTTCCCTCTTTAGGCTTCAAGATAATTGTGATTTCATCGCACCCCAGATACTTCCAAGTGGAGCCAGGCCTCAGACTGTTCTCAGTCACTGCTCTCCCACAGCTGATTACAGACATTGCCTGTGCTTCCTACCCCAGCAGCTGTCTAGTGCACTTGAACCACAAAATGGGCCCTCACTTCTTTCCTAACCCAGCTCCATCTTGGTAAACTGTAACAGACAGACAGGAGTCCCCAAGGGCACAAAATAGTTTCTTTCCAGATGATTTTAAAGGAAGGGGGGAAAAGGAAGCATATGTGCTAATGGAGCTTCTATGGCTGAAACAATTTATCTGCAGATGCCTAGCCACTCACTGATCAATTTGTTATGCGCCGTGACTGAAATCTGTGATTCCATCTGAAGGCAGTGAGAAGTGGTGTTACCATCTGAAGTGGGTCAGGGCTCTTACCTGACTAAGCTGGTACTTTAGCCCATAAGTGAAACAAAATGGCACTTTTTAGGACTACCTCAGATTCGGTTGAATTTCTAACTTCCTGAAATACTTTCTCTCACAGATTCTCTGCTGGTCTCTAAGACTTAAAAGGAGAGAAAATAAAAATATCAAATTAAAGTGACAAGTTAACTAAGGGAGCTGACTACTGGGAGAAAAATAGGAAAGTTGCGTGATCCCAAAACTGGATTTAAAAAAAAAAAAAGTTATTTCAGGGACACTCATGAGTGGCCACAGCACAAAATCCTGCAGTAGGACTTACCTGGGCTCGACAGTGTGGTAGCAGCATCGGCACAACCTCAAGTGGAACCCAGAGGGGACAAATTCCCTTGAAATTTCATTCAAAATTTTCCCAGGGCCAGTTTTTAAGAGTACCTGGACCTTCGTCAGCCAGAATTTGTTAAGGAAGCAAGAGGGTTTGGTTTAAATTCTGGGAGGTCCAGGCAACATCAGAGCCACTTCCTGTTCCTGAGAGCAGAAGCCAGTGGGTCTCTGGTCCTCCTTGGAGCTCTGCTAATTCTTGCTGGTTTGAGGTTAATATGCTAGAGCACATGCCCCCCAGCAGACTCCTCAACCTCCTCTTGAAGCCAAGAAAAAGACCTATAACAATGCCAAGGTATCTTTTAAGTGCTCCTAAGACAGCTTCAATGCAGCTTTGGACAAGGGACACAAAGCCTCAGAGAAACCATAAAACACCATCCATATGGCACCATAATATTGTTTTGTTCTGAGAATTCTGCCCTTAGTCAAAACCACACAGTCATGAATACATAAACACCACTTTCGGAGCCATCTAATAAAGACTGAGCTCTGCTACACAGCAGCGAGCCTCAGCTCAGGGGAAACAGGGGGAAACCAGGAGAGCCGACCATGGCAAGCGCTTCGCCTGAGTGCAGTGGGAGTCTCATTGGCGAGTGTCCAGTGTCAAGCAGGCCTTGTTTGTAATGGTCTCATCTGAAGAGCTACACAGCAAGGACACTGCAGATATCAAGCCATGCCATCTACATGGTTACAACAGCCAGTGGTATCTAAACTGGGGGCAGCAAGGCCTGTAAAGACTTTAAGAGAAGAAACAGCACCTGGACTGTGAGAAAAAGAGTCTCTGAAGACATCTGACCTGGACAGGCTGCCATCTCTTATGATTATTTCCTGTGTGGCTGTGAAGGTTAACGGGATAAAGCCCTCACTGTCAGCAGAGAGAAGAATCCAGTGGGAATCTGCAAATAAAAATAAATACACAGGCAATTTAGTATATATTATTCTTATGATGAAACATATGACTACAAATTTTTTTTTCTGAGTGAAGGAATATAGTAGTTGATAATATTCAACTCAATCCTTGTAAGATTTTACAGAGAATGGGGTATTGGGAAGACTGGGTATTACTTAGGGTCAGGTAGGAGAAAAAGGGGAAAAAATGAAATGATATTTGATGTTCAATGTGGTGGCTACTGTTACAAGAATGAGGCATAAGAAAACAACCATGCTCCACATCTGATGAATCTGGCATGACTCAGTCCCTTGCCACTTAGGAATATCCTTTGAACATCCATGTTTACTCCATATTAGAATGGCAACTCCTCAAAGAAATATTCTGTAGGCCGGGCGCAGTGGCTCACGCCTATAATCCCACCACTTTGGGAGGCCGAGGCGGGCAGATCTCGAGGTCAGGAGATCGAGACCATCCTGGCTAACATGGTGAAACCCCATTTCTACTAAAAATACAAAATATTAGCCAGGCGTGGTGGCATGTGCCTGTAGTCCCAGCTACTCGGGAGGCTGAGGCAGGAGAATCGCTTGAACCCAGGAGGCGGAGGTTGCAGTGAGCCGAGATCATGCCACTGCATTCCAGCCTGGGTGACAGAGTGAGACTCGGTCTCAAAAAAAAAAAAAGAAAGAAAGAAACATTCTGCAATGCTGCTATGATCTTTACATTTTAGTGCAACAGAAATAAATGAGGCTTTCTGTTACTTCCTTGCAGTTGTTATACACTGCTTTGTAAGTCTTTTCTTATTTTTTCATATGTACATTTAACTTTTCCAGCTAGGCTGTAAGTTCCCTAAGGGCAGGGTGCATATTTTCCATATGTTTTGGCACCTATACTAGGCCTGGGTATATAGTAGGCAATTAATAATATTTGTTAAGGCTGGGTGTGGTGGCTTATGCCAGTAATCATAGCACTTTGGGAGGCCAAGGTGGACGGATCACTTGAGGTCAGGAGTTCAAGACCAGCCTGGGCAACAGAGTGAGACCCCGTTATCTACAAACATTTTTTTTAAACTTGGCTGAGGCTGGGTGCAGTGGCTCACGCCTTTAATCCCAGCACTTTGGGAGGCCGAGGCAGGCGGATTGCCTGAGCTCAGCCTGGGCAACACAGTGAAACCCGTCTCTACGAAAATACAAAAAATTAGCCAGGCATGGCAGCGTGCGCCTGTAGTCCCAGCTACTCAGGAGGCTGAGACAGGAGAATTGCTTGAACCCGGGAGGCGGAGGTTGCAGTGAGCTGAGACTGCGCCACTGTACTCCAGGACCGGGTGGCAGAGCAAGACTCCATCTCCAAAAAACAAACAAACAAACAAACAAAACTTGGCTGGGCATGGTAGTGAACACCTATAGTTCTCACTAGTTGGGAGTCTGAGATGGGAGGATTGCTTGAGCTCAGGAGTTCGAGGCTGCAGTGAGCTATGATCACACCGAGGCACTCTGGCCTGGGCAACAGAGCAAGACCCTGTCTCAATAATAATAATAATAATAGATTACTTGTTAACTATCCAGTGAATTACTGAATGGTTGGTATCCCTCATTTTCATTACCGGCATAGTTAAAACAGATGGTGGGGGAGGCAAGGATGTTAGCTAGGGTCAATTTCTGAGCACGACCTACCATGTAGCATTTCAATGAGAGAAAGGCCAAAAGTCTGCTGAACTGTACTGAGCCTTAGTTTACCATCACAGAGAAGCACCGCTCTTTTTTCAACAACAGGACCTAGATAATAAGGTTTCTGCAAATAAAAAATAAAAGTTGTTAAACTGATTGCAGAAGTAATCGAGTTAACATTTCTTAAGAAAGGAATGTGTAAATAGTTTTTTAAAAAATTCTTATCTATTACCACTAATCAACTGGACTTCAGTTTTAAGGAGCTCTTTGCTGCATTATTTAACACAACTAAAAAATCCGAACAAAACAGCCTTATTTTTCCTTTTGTTCTACTCTTTCCTCAGGGTTCTTCATCACTAGGAACTGGCTCTCCTAGAATACAACTAATAACACTAAAAGGATGATGGACAGCAGCCTGAGAGACACAATCTGACGGTAAGAACACCTTCTTGGCTGTTTCAGATATAGCTAAGACACCTCATGGTTTATTAGGAAAAAAAATGCCGAGAGAGTGTCCTAAGTGGTAGAGTAGCAGAGGATTTGCATAAAATAAACAAACCATGGTCAAAATTCACATAGCTTAGAAAAAGCACAAATAAAAATAAATGATTTGTAAATTTTAAAGTCATTAAAAATTGGCTGGGCACAGTGGCTCACCCCTTAGTACCAAAAGTTTGGGAGGCTAAGATGGACAGATCACTTGAGCCCAGGAGTTCAAGACCAGCCTGGGCAATATGGCAAAACCCTGTCTTTACAAAAAATAAAAAAGTTAGCCAGGCATGGTGGTACACACTTGTAGTCCCAGCTACTCGGGAGGCTGAGGTAGGAGAATCACTTGAACCCAGGAGGCAAAGGTTGCAGTGAGCTGAGAAGGTGCCACTGTACTCCAGGCTGAGTGACAGAGACAGACTCCATCTCTAAATAAATAAATAAATGAAGGACAGTTGTATAAGTTATGTGTCTAACTTATTTTGTTGTTAAGCACTTTGGGAGGCCAGAGTGCATGGATTGCTTGAGCCCAGGTATTGGAGAGCAGCCTGGGCAACATGGCAAGACCCCATCTCATAAAAAGAAAATAAAACTATACATCACTGTGGTAGGATGAACCACTCAAAGAATATGTCCACTAATATTTTTAAATGAAGTCACAGGAATAAACTGTAAAAGTCAAAACCAACTAATCATTTATTTCACGTCTTATGAAATGTAATTTCTGAAATTACAGGGGAAACTATTTCTTGCTTTTGATTATTGTGTAACTTTTACTTTTCTCATTACAAAAGGAATAAATGATCAATTTTTTAAAAGTATAATAGGGCCGGGTGTGGTGGCTCACGCCTGTAATCCCAGAACTTTGGAAGGCCAAGGCGGGTGGATCACTTGAGGTCAGGAGTTCGAGACCAGCCTGGCCAACATGGTGAAACCCCATCTCTACTATAAATACAAAAATTAGCTGGGTGTGGTGGTGCACACCTGTAATCCCAACTACCTGGGTGGCTGAGGCAGAGAATCGCTTGAACCCAGGAGGCGGAGGTTGCAGTGAGCCAAGATCGCGCCACTGCACTCCGGCCTGGGTGACAAAGCAAAGCTCTATCTAAAAATAAATAAATAAAATAAAAATATAACAGAAATATATAATGCAGACAGTAAAGCCCCCAAAATTCTATCCTCCAGAGATAACTACTGACAACAGCTTGGTTGGATGACATAATTATAAACTAAAAAACTGAGGAATTGAAAGGGCAACAAAACTTTTTTTTTTTTTTTTTGAGACAGAGTCTTGCTCTGTTTCCCAGGCTGGCGTGCAGTGGCACGATCACAGCTCACTGCAGCCTCAACCTCCTCAGCTTAGGTGATCCTCACACCTCAGCCTCCCAAGTAGCTGGGAAAACAGGTGGGTGCCATCACGGCTGGCTAATTTTTGTATTTTTCGGTAGAGACAGGGTTTTGCCATGCTGCCCAGGCTGGTCTCGAACTCCTGGACTCAAGTGATCTACCCATCTCGGCCTCCCAAAGTTCTGGGGTTACAGGTTTAAGCCACTGTGCCTGGCCAAACATGGTTGTTTTAACCTTAGTTTTTAAAAATATAAAATTTTACATTTATAAGTGTTTTAAAAACAGAAAGATATATTATTGTTTGCAAGTAAAATAGCCTATTTAAAGAAAATTTTAAAAATAATATATTTTTATATTAGATTTTTTTTGGATTAGATAAATGTACAGAAAAAATATGGAAATATTTACATCTAACATCTAATAAAATATTTAGCTATATCTGTGATTTTCTCTAAAGGTTGGATTATGGAAAATTTTTACTTTCTGTAATGGTAAAATTTTTTTCCTCAACAAGTATATATTACTTTTGTAATTAGGAAAAAAAAATACTATGCAGCTGTGGAAAAAAAGATGAAAAAAGAGCTCTGTGTGCTGATATAAAGAGCTCTCTAGGACATACTATTAAATGGAAAATGAAAAGGTGTGTATATCACCTTCCCTTTTGTGTAACAAAAGGGGAAATAAAAATACATAACTAAAGTCTGCTAGTATCTGCATAAAGAAATAAAAATAAAAATGGTTACCTAAAGGAGGAAAGGAGAACAGGCTGAAGAAACATAGGGTAGGAATAAGAGTTCTTGGTATACAGTTTTTATTAAAATACAGTTTTGCTTTTTAAACCAAATAAATGAATTACCTATTAAAAAAAGACAGAAGAAAAAGAAAACAAACTCTTTAAAAAGTCATAGTAGGAAAGAAATCCAAACCAGTTATCACATTTATAAATAAAATAATTTTAAAAAAATCAAAACTATGGCTGGGTGCAGTGGCTCACACCTGTAATCCCAGCGCTTTGGGAGGCTGAAGCAGGAGGACTGCTTGAGCCCAGGACTTCCAAACAAGCCTGGGCAACATAGCAAGACCTTGTCTCTATAGTTAAAAAAAAATTTTTTTTAATTAAAAAAAAATTAGGCCGGGCGCAGTGGCTTACACGTGTAATCTCAGCACTCTGGGAGGCCAAGGCGGGCAGATCACAAGGTCAGGAGATTGAGCTCATCCTGGCCAACACGGTGAAACCCCGCCTCTACTAAGAATACAAAAATTAGCCAGGTGTGGTGGCACGTGCCTGTAATCCCAGCTACTTGGGAGGCTGAGGCAGGAGAATTGCTAGAACCTGGGAGTTGGAGGTTGCAGCGAGCTGAGATCGCGCCACTGCACTCCAGCCTGGTGACAGAGACTCCGTCTCAAAAATAAATAAATAAATAAATAAATAAATAAATAAATAAATAAAATAAAATGCTCCTCACAGCAAAGCTGTGACTTAAAAAAAAAAATTAAAACTCTACTACTGAAAACTCCATGTAGTTAATGTGGCAAAAATCCTCTTTAAAAAAATGTAGGGTTGGGGCCACATGCAGTGGCACACACCTGTAATCCCAGCACTTTGGGAGGCTGAGGCAAGACTATCACTTGAGCCCAGGAGGTCATGATCAGCCTAGGCAACATAGCAAGATCCTGTCTCTGCTAAAAAAAAAAAAAATTAGCCAAGTGTGGTGGCATGTGCTTGTAGTCTCAGCTGCTCAGGAGGCTGAAGCAGGAGGGTCACTGATCAGATTGGTGACATACGAGGAAAAGGACAGCCTTATACATAGCTGGCGGGCGTGTGATGATGCACTGTTAAGTAAAAATCTTTGAGAGGCAATCTGGTAACTCAATTAAAAGTAGAAACACATATACTCTTCAAATTTGCATTTCTACTTCTGGGAACCAATCCAACAGAAATAAAGGTACTAATATGAATGGATACATATAAGAGTACTACTGCAGCATCATTTGGAGTAGCTAAAAACTAAAAACAAAGTGAATGTCAATCAACAAGGGAATGGCTAAATAAAGAGCATACTCTCAGTATGAAGTAAAGAGTGCACCATATCACCCTATTTTTGTAAAAACAATGACAAACCATTCCCACATACCTATATATCTATGTACACAAAGACCTGTGTTAGATCATGTGACCATGGAGAAAGTCACGAAAGGATCCATGTTAAGCTGCTGGTTACAGCGGATTAAGGGGAAGATGGGGCAAGGCCATATTTTATATAGGAGGAAAGTGTCCATGATAAAAACATGTATAATATGATCCCACTTATATAATGTTTGGACATGCATGCATAAAGAAATGCATCAAAACATTTTAAATGAACATAACCTTTTCCTTTTTCTTTGAGACGGAGTCTCGCCCTGTTGCCCAGGCTGGAGTGCAGTGGCACAGTCTCGGCTCACTGAAACCTGTGCCTCCCGGGCTCAAGTGATACTCCTGCTTTCCCAAGTAGCTGGGATTACAGGCGCCCATCACCATGCCCAGCTAATTTTTATATTTTTGTTAGAGACAGGGTTTCACCACATTGGCCAGGCTGGTCTCGAACTCCTGACCTCAGGTGATCCACTTGCCTCGGCCTCCCAAAGTGCTAGGATTACAGGCGTGAGCCATGGAGCCCAGCAACATAACCTTTTTTATAACTGGAGGAGTATCTCTATTATATAAGGAAAAGGTTGTCACAATGAAATAACATGATTTTTTTTCTAAATATAAATTGCCCGAATTAGTGCAGACATTTATTTTTCCACGTCATGCACCTGATAAAATCATGATGCAGACTGATATGTGCGCCTATCTGGTTGGCAGGCTAAAAACCAACCAACCTGCAAAGGTGTACCAACTTGCCTGTAACATAACATGCCCAGCTTAGTGAAGCTCAGTTAGAGCACCATCTTCCTCATCAATACGTTTCTTGCAGTACTCACCGGCTGCAGGAGCTTTTATGTATAGTGGTAGTTCCTCAAAGGAGAATTTACCTGGTAAATGATGTGAACATAAGGAAGATCTTGAGAGAGTGGATACACTGAAGAGGATTTCTTCCCATTATGCAGACGGTTTGTAAGTTCAGAAAGACACCGTTGCATTTCAACCAGGTTCCTAGATAAAATTTCCACTTCCTTAGACAGCTGATAAGTTTCCTTTTCACTTTGTAAGTTCTTTCTTTGAGGCAAACGAGGAGGCTCCAGTGTGCTGGTGTGGTCTGGTGTGCTGCTGTGTCTGGGCAGCGATGCTGGCTGGGTAACAGGCTCAGCATCTAGAGCTATGGAGCCATCACAGATACTAGACAGAGGACTCTGGATTTCTTTAATAAGTGTTCTTCCAGGCCTTCCATTCTGACTACTGGTATTAACTGTCAGCAACAGCCCTTTGTTTTGGTGACAAAAATCTGGGGAAAGACTTTCAATTAACTTTTTTCTATTTGCTTTATTTAACGGAGCACTGAAAGTAGAGTAGGTAGTCTGGCTTTCACCTGATGTTATTGAAGGTTCTTCTTCCAACATTATTTCTCTAACAATCAAGCTAATGGCATACTGATCAGACTTTGAAGAAGGAAGAAATGTTGTATCAGTGAGTTTTTGTTTTCCTACCAAAATTAGTAATAGTTGGTCTGTCAAGAAACATATCCCTTTTGGTCTTTCAGTGTTCTCTAATCGAATTTGCTGGATGTTTGGGACTGAAGATGGAATGACAGAGTAGATCAAAATTATATTACAAGTGTTGGAAGCCACTGCCACTACGTGGGCTTTAAGATTAAATGCTATCAGATCAGGAACCAGAATGCCTGGAATAGTGACTTTTCTCGTCATGGTAACTGCCTTCTTAAAGGTCACAAGGACCAAATGTGAAGAATCTTGGCCAGTTCCTGTCAAGTAGTCCTTTTTTCTTAGACAAATAAGAGAATTACCCTCAGACTTATGTTGATTGAAATGTATGTGAGTTAGATCCAGAGGTTCTAAATAGGAAGAAGAAACTGATACTTCAGAATTTGTTTCAGAATCAGTTGCCTCTTTATCCATAGAGCGTACTTCACCAATAACTGGTAAAGCATACGGAGTCATGTCTTTACTGTTAGGTGGGATATTAAAGGTTTCAGATGCATTTAAGCCACAGATCTTATCCAATGGAAGCTCAGTAGCTATAGCAACCTGTGAGTCCACAGTTGCTGTGATGGAGCAGACGTGGCTGTCCACATCAAACACCAGGCAGGAGGAGCACCTGTGAAGAGTCTTCTGAGCGCTGTCCCAAATATAAGAATGCAGGCTGCTGCCTACTGCCACCACCAGCCTCAGGCCATCCTGGGTCCAACATGCACAGTGAATGCGGCCCTGGGTGTTGATGTCTGCCTTTACCTGGGAATCATCAGAGTGAACATTAGGGAAAATGGAGACATCCTGAGCAGTCAACACAGTCAGAATAGCACATTTTGGGTGCCACACACAGCCCTGGGGAAGGATAGGTAGTGATCCTCTAATCTCACAAGTCTGAGACGTCAGCCATTTGCTTGACTCCATAGGGCTGGGACACAGCTGCCACACAGTGACATGCTTCTCATGCTGGACAGCGAGTAGAACAGGTGTATCATCTGCAACAGGTGGGGCCCAGGACAACCCACAGACACATTCAAACTGTCCAATGACTTTGGAGTCCCCAAACTTGACCTCTCCACTGTGAAGCCGCAAATCAGTTAGGACAACTTGATTCCCATCGGTCCAGGCAAGGCCATGGATCGGATGCACTGCTTGATGCAACGCATTCAGTCCAGTCCTGAGTAGTTTTCCTTTTCCCAACTCCATCCTTTTGATAAAGGTTACCTGAAATGATTAAGAAGGAAAGTTACACCATGAGAAATCTAGACAAATCTAGAATGTAGGACATTTGGTAAGACAACGGCTTAGCCCCTTCCCAGGTTAATAATGTGGAGAGACAAAAGGACAGGGGGAGTATTATAAATTAAGAGACTACTGAGCTATCAGGCAAATGCAATGTATATACTTTGGATCTTGAAGAAATAAAATCTTCTACCTAATGAAGATTTTTAGAACTGGGGAAATCTGAGTATGGAATGGATATCAGAAAATATTGTAGAGTTATTATTTTTCTTCTTTTTTTTTTTGAGACGGAGTCTCACTCTTGTTGCTCAGGCTGAAGTGCAATGGCACAATCTCGGCGCACTTCAACCTCTGCCTCCTGGGTTCAAGCGATTCTTCTGCCTCAGCCTCCAGAGTAGCTGGGATTACAGGTGCCTGCCACCAGGCCCAGCTAATTTTTTTTTTATTTTTAGTAGAGACGGGGTTTCACTATGTTGGCCAGGCTGGTCTCAAACTCCTGACCTCAGGCAATCCACCCACCTCAGCCTCCCAAAGTGCTGGGATTATAGGCATGAGCTCCCGCGCCCGGCCAGAGTTATTAATTTTCTTAAGTGTGAACATGGTATTGTGGTTATGCAGGACAAGGTCCTTATTATTTAAATAAGCATGTTGAAGCACTTGGGGTAAAATGTCATGATGCCTACAATGTGCTTTCAAATGGTTTGACAAAAAAAACCCAAATTTTCTATAGACACACAGAAAGAAAACAAATGTAGCAAAATGTTAATAATTGTAGAGTCTAGATTGAGGCTATGTTAGTATTTATGGTACTTTCAACTTTTAAGTTAGAAAATTTTCCAATTAAAAATTTAAGAAAAGTCTCCTCCATCATCTAATTTCTATTCGTCCTTTCACTGCCAAATCAATGAATAACTGATATGCACATCTCTGACTTTATTAGCACTTATTTCAAATCCTTCCAAAGTGGCTTTTATCCCTCTATTGAAATGACACTCAAAAATCACTGTTTCTATTTCTACTTCTACTTCATCTTATTCAACAGCACTTAATAATTTTCAGAACATTTTCACATTCCCTATTGCATTTTATCTTACAATAATCTTTTAAAATAATGTAAAGTAGGTTAGGCAAGTATTATCTTCATTTTTTCACCCTGAATATTTTTCCCCCAGGCATTTGAATCACTAAAGAAGCATATGCTTAGGGCTGGGCGTGGTGACTCACGCCTATAATCCCAGTACTTTGGGAGGCTGAGACGGGAGGATCACCTGAGGTTGGGAGTTCGATCCCAGCCTGACCAACATGCAGAAACCCCATCTCTACTAAAAATACAAAATTAGCCAAGTGTGGTGGTGCATGCCTATACTCCCAGCTACTTAGAAGGCTGAGGCAGGAGAATCGTTTGAACTGGGGAGGCAGAGGCTACAGTGAGCTGAGATCGTGCCATTGCACTCCAGCCTGGGTAACAACAGCGAAACTCCACCTCAAAAAAGAAACAACAACAACAAAAAACAAGTACATGCTTAGGCTGGGCACGGTGGCTCATGCTTGTAATCCCAGCACTTTGGGAGGCTGAGGCGGGTGGATCACCTGAGGTCAGGAGTTTGAGACCAGCCTGGCCAACATGGTGTAACCCTGTTTCTAATAATAATACAAAAATTAGCCGGGCATGGTGGCGCATGCCTGTAATCCCAGCTACTCAGGAGGCTGAGGCAGGAGAATCACTTGAACCCAGGAGGTAGAGATTACAGTGAGCCAAAATTGCACCATTGCACTTCAGCCTGGGCGACAGGAGCAAAACTCTATCTCCAAAAAAAAAAAAAAACTGTTCCCTCCTACTCAGTGCCAGCCCCTTTAGCTCCTCCTCCTTTCCAACATTTCAAAGCCTTGATAAAAGCATCATTAACAATTTGGTGTTTAGCCTCTGAAAATGTTAAAGAAAGACACAAAGATATATAGGATTTTACATGTTATGGCTTTTCTTTTAAACAAAAAATGGGGTAGCCAGGCATGGTGGCTCATAGGCATGAGCCACCCAGCACTTACACCCATTACACCCAAAGTGTAATCCCAGCACTTTGGGAGGCCCAGGCAGGCAGATTACCTGAGGTCAGGAGTTCGAGACCAGCCTGGCCAACATGGTGAAACCCCATCTCTACTCAAAATACAAAAATTAGCTGGGCTCGGTGGCAGGTGCCTGTAATCCCAGCTACTCGGGAGGCTGAGGCTGGACAATTGCTTGAACCTGGGAGGGGAGGCGGAGGTTGCAGTGAGCTCAGATGGCGCCACTGCACTCCAGCCTGGGCAACAAAAGTGAAACTCTGTCTCAAAAAAAAAAAAAAAAAAAAAAAGATACATATAGTCAGTAGGGAGAATAAGGACATTATTTGGATAAGCTGTAATACCTGAATACTCACTTTGAAATATAAACATAAAAAATACTATTTAATGTAAAATGAAAAACTGCCTCAGGAAAATTATATTTTGAAATACTATCAATCAGTGGATACATAAATATATAATAATGGATATAAGAATAAAATGTTGCAATAATAAACACAGACTGAGAAAGACTAATTTTAGTATAAAGCCTGGGTGTGGCAGCTCACGCCTGTAATCCCAGCACTTTGGGAGCCCGAGAAGGGCAGATCACGTGAGGTCAGGAGCTCAAAACCAGCCTGACCAACGTGGAGAAACCCCATCTCTACTAAAAATACAAAAAATTGGCCGGGCGCAGTGGCTCACGCCTGTAATCCCAGCACTTTGGGAGGCCGAGGCAGGCGGATCACGAGGTCAGGAGATCGAGACCATCCTGGCTAACACGGTGAAACCCTGTCTCTACTAAAAATACAAAAATTAGCCAGGTGTGTTGGCGGGCGCCTGTAGTCCCAGCTACTCGGAAGGCTGAGGCAGGAGAATGGCGTGAACCCTGGAGGCAGAGGTTGCAGTGAATCGAGATCGCACCACTGCACTCCAGCCTGGGTGACAGAGCAATACTCCGTCTCAAAAAAAAAAAAAAAAAAAAAAAATTAGCTGGCTGTGGTGGCGCATGCCTGTAATCCCAGCTACTCAGGAGGCTGAGGCAGGAGAATCGCTTGAACCCGGGAGGTGGAGGTTGCAGTGAGCCGAGATCGTGCCATGGCACTCCAGCCTGGGCAACAAGAGTGAAACTCTGTCTCAAAAAAAAAAAAATTTAGTATAAAAACAATTACTGGGCCAGAGCCAGGCGCGGCGGCTCACGCCTGTAATCCTAGCATTTTGGGAGGCCGAGGCGGGCAGATCACCTGACCATCAGGAGTTCGAGACCAGCCTGACCAACATGGAGAAACCCCGTCTCTACTAAAAATACAAAATTAGCTGGGCGTGGTGGCACATGCCTGTAATTCCAGCTACTCAGGAGGCTGAGGCAGGAGAATCACTTGAACCCAGGAGGCGGAGGTTGCAGTGAGCTGAGATCATGCCATTACACTCCAGCCTGGGCAAAAAGAGTGAAACTCCGTCTCAAAAAAAAAAAAAAAAATTACTGGGCCAGGTGGCTCATGCCTTTAATCCGAGCACTTTGGCAGGCCAAGGCGGGTGGATCACCTGAGGTCAGGATTTCGAGATCAGCCTGGCCAACATGGCGAAACCTCGTCTCTACTAAAAATACAAAAAAATTAGCCAGGAGTGATGGCACACTCCTGTAATCCCAGCTACTTGGGAGGCTGAGACACGAGAATTGCTTGAACCTGGGAGGCAGATGTTACGGTAAGCCAAGATGGCACCACTGCACTGTAGCCTGGACAACAGAGTGAGACTCGGTCTCAAAAACAAAACTAAACAAAATGACTGTTGGCCAGGCACAGTGGCTCATGCCTGTAATCCCAACAATTTAGGAGGCCAAGGCAGAAGGATCACTTGAGCCCTGGAGTTCGAGACCAGAGATCAGCCTGGACAACACAGCAAGATACTGTCTCTACTTAAAACAAAACAAAACAAAACAAAAAACCCCCCAACAATCTACAAACATATATAAAGTGATGTTTAACCTTATTAGTTATCAAATAGTTGTGTAAACTGGCAGTACTCATATTTTTCACCACTCACTCTCTTCTTAATATACTTAAAATGAATTCCATTCCAATTTCTTCTCCAAAACATCTCTCACCAGGCCACCAGTGCTTCCCTGTCACTGAATCTAAATGACATTTTTCAGCCTTGTTTTACTGAGTAAGTGTCAAAGGCAGAACTTGAGAAGTTGTCTTCAGACTCTAAATCCAATGAAATGTATTCTCTACCAACCTGGTGATTTGCTTATCTGTAAATTATTTCGCATATCTCCTTGCTAGCTTTGTCCTTGCTCTTAGGATCTTTCACTTAAAAAAAAAAAGGGTCTATTATGCTTTTATATATGATGTCAGATTCAGTGGTTCTGCAGCGGCTTGCTAAACGGAGAAAAAAGTCCAGTCATTACTAATGAAGAAAACTGTGATCTCTGTCCCACTGGTCTTATGAAAGATAATAATGTTTTCTCCCTAATATCTACTTATGTACTTTAAAAAGAATTTTATTGATAAATAATGCCATGATACACTTTCATGGGCAGAGAAAATTCCTAATGGGCCAATTACATCCAAGTCGATTTATATATTTTAGGATACCAAATTCTGTCTAATGTCAATGAGGGTGTGTGTGGCCAGGGTAGCACAAGACAAGGATTTGGGAATAAGAGAAAAACAAACATAAGTTTACTGAGGTTTTTTTTTGGGGGGGGCGTGGGGGCACAGTCTTGCTCCGTTACCCAGGCTGGAGTGCAGTGGCATGATCTGGGCTCACTGCAACCTCTGCTTCCTGGGTTCAAGTGATTCTTGTGCCTCAGCCTCCCAAGGAACTGGGATAGGGGCCCACCACCATGCCCAGCTAATTTTTATATTTTTAGTAGAGACTGGGTTTCACCATGTTGGCCAGGCTGGTCTTGAACTCCTGACCTCAAGTGATCCTCCTGCCTTGGCCTCCCAAAGTGCTAGGATTACAGGCGTGAGCCACTGCATGGGCCAGTTTACTGAGGTTTTTAGAAGAATGAATTTTAATATTGTCATCTTCGGTAACAAGAAGAAATGTGGCACATTTTTCTCAAAAACGCAGTGATAATTACAAAAATCTGCTCCATTCCTTTCTACTCCTGTGTTAGCCCAGGTTCTGACTTCTCCCTTTTTATTAGGGTAAAACAAGGAGAGGTCCCCTTGATACCAGTCTCTACTTTCCAAATGAGCCTGCATACTATGTGTTGTTGGGCAGAATTATCTTTAAAAAAAAAAAAAAAAAAAAAAAAGCACAGCGGTGATCATTTTGCTCTTCTGCATAAACACCCTTGATGAATCCCCACATCTACAGTATATAAAAAGCCTCAAAATGTCTTAACAAGGCAATTAAAACCTTATATTATCAGATATTGATATATCTTTCTAAGTTTATTCTCTGATCATAAAGGGCATGCTGAGGAATTTGGAATCTTGGGGGAACCAGCATATATTCAAGTAACAATATGCAGAATGGACCTGAGAAGGAAGAAAGTTGACAAGTAATTTGAATGCCACAAAGTGAAAATGAAGCAAGTTTGCAACTATTTCAGTAGAGAAAGAAGGCCATATTCAAGAGATGCTTTTAAGGCAGATGGAATAGACAGTGATATCGATAGGATATAAGTAGTGAGGAGGAAAAAAGAATTAAGGATAACACCCAGATTTTTAGCTTGAGAAACTGCTGAACCATTAACCAGAGCATGTTTCAAAGGCAAGGAAGGCAGGGCAGGCTGGGTGTGGTGCCTCATGCCTGTAATCCCAGCACTTTGGGAGGCTGAGGCAGGTGGATCATCTGAGGTCAGGAGTTCGACACCACCCTGGCCAACATGGTGAAACCCTGTCTCTACTAAAAATACAATATTAGCTGGGCGTGGTGGTGTGTGCCTGTAGTTCCAGCTACTTGGGAGGCTGCAGCAGGAGAATCGCTTGAACCCGGCTGGCGGAGGTTGCAGTGAGCCGAGTTTGCGCCACTGCACTCCAGCCTGGGTGACAGAGCAAGACTCCATCTCAAAAAAAAAAAAAAAAAAAAGAGAGAGAGAGAGGAAGGAAGGAAGGAAGGAAGGAAGGGGGAGGGGGAGGGAAGGAAGAAAGGAAAGGAAGGGCAGGCACAGTGGCTAACACCTGTAATCCCAGCACTTTGGGAGGCTGAGGTGGGAGGATCACTTGATGCCAGTATTTCAAGACCAGCCTAGGCAACACAGGGAGACCCCAATTCTACAGAAAAATTTTTAAAAATGAGGTGGGTGCTCACTTTGGCAGCACATATACTAAGACTGAAATGATACAGAGCGTAGCATGGCCCCTGCACAGGGATGACTTGCAAATTTGTGAAGCGTTCCATAAAAAAGGAAAATAAAAAATAATAAAAATAAAAATAAAAATTAGCTGGGTGCAGCGTCCCACACCTGCAGTCCTAGTTACTATGGAGGCTGAGAGGATTTGAGCTCAGGAGTTCAAGGTTACAGTAAGCTATGATCACACCACTGCATTCCAGCCTGGGTGACAGAGTGAGACCCTGTTGGGGAGGTGGGGGTGGGGGCAGTAGGGGAGGAACGTGTGTAGTATGTGACAAATTGAAATTAACATGTGCTTCATGTAAGATGTCTACATGGTACCAATGTACCTTAGGCAGTCAGAGGTAAGGATTTGGAAATCACTGACATAGGGTTAATCATTAAAGTCAAGGTAGTGGAGAACCTCACTGTATAAGATCAGAGGGCCAGGAGGACCAAGGTTTAAATGCTCTTCAGGCATTCCCCAACGCTACTGATTTTGCCTGAAACTAATTGTATACCTATTGTTTCACAATCTCCAGAGTATAAGTTTTTTGGAGAACATGAAATCAAGAACCCTGGGTGTTTTAGGAGGGAAAAGACCACTGTATTAGTTCAGGTCTCCGGAGAGGTGGTCAGAAAACTAAGAGCCGGTGCTCAGTATATAACCATTTAATTCTGTTTTTCATCTTCTTTAAAGACAACTCATGACGAGAATCAAGGGATTCAGGTGAACTGGCATTTCCAGCAGGTTTAAACAAAAGTACATCCCTCCCCCAACTTGTTTTCCAAGTTTATTGTATTTCCACTATAAAATGATTTCAAGTTCTTTACACTTATTTGGAAACAAAAATCATACACAAGAAAAAAATTAAGAAGAGTTAACGAAAAAACATTCATCCAAAGAAAATTATGACTAATCCCTCTAGACTCTTCTATGCATAGTTTGGCTGTCAAACTTTTTCAGTTATACTGTGCAACTTTGTATCACGGTTTTCATCTAACATTATATATTAGCATTTCCCTATGTTATTTAAAAGTTTAATAAATTAGTTTTAGAGGCCACTTCACATACACTCAGTGAAGTGACATAATGTACTGAACTGCTCCTAGCTGTACCCAACTTTATCCCGCTACCCGCTATAAATAAAGCTCGGACCGAGGTCTTAAGGCTTAAAGCATTTCCTGACTTTGGATGACTTCCTTGGGACATATTCCCAGGAGTGTTATTCACGAGTCACGGTCATAATCCCTCATTTACACCCACCCCTAGCTCGATCCTCATCCCGCGACCCCTCACACGCGGCCCGCCCCATTCTCCTCATCCTCTCTGCACGCCTGAATCTCCTCCTTCCCGCCCCCTACCCACCAAGAGCCGATCCACTTCCCTCCTGACCCCCTACAGCCTCCCCACACCCGCCAGGCCCGGCAGCAGTGGAGATGAAATACCTTAGGTCTCACTGCCTCACAAAAACACCAATCTCTCTGTGGCCGCCCAACATCACGCCGCCGCACATAAGAAGTTCTGGGCAGCCACCGGAAGCACCGGCCCTCAGTCCTCTGATAGGTGGGCGGTGATATCGGTCCTCTGATAGGTGGGTGGTCCTCTGATAGGATAGGCACGCTCCGAGATGGCCCCGTCTATTGGCTTTTGAATATGCACATTAGCAGAGGGTTCGTCCCACTGGCCAATAAGCTCTGGCTCTGCCGCACGGATCGCTGGGAGTGGTAGTCCCCGTAAAACCACCGACCGCAAGCCCGCCACATTTTCCCTCCCTTAAGCACTTGAGCTCTTTCCCCACTTCTCGTCGGTTCTCTTGTCTAAGGAGTCCAGGAGCCCTAGGATCACCACGGCTTTTTAACCTTCTTTAAAATCTGATAAAATCTCTCAGGAAAATGTTCTTATCTGTACACAAAATACTGTGCATTGAGCTGAAGCCGCTGCATGGGCCTGTCCCAGCTACAAATCCCTGTTCTACCCCGACCCTAAGCGTGCCTGCTCTGGCCGCAGCCTATGGATTTAGTGCGTCCCTTAGGCTTCTTCAGACCTATGAGGAATTCCAGGTCCTGACCCTCACAGTACAGTCGACAATCATCTTTCTTTAACAACACAGCCAGAACACCTTCAGGGATGCAGACAACCTCATCTGGGACCTAAGCATCCGGGAGAGTGGGGATGAGGAAATGGAGGAAGAACACCCTTGGGGCTCATTCTGGACCAGTTTGCCAGGCTTTTCTCCCCATGCCTATCTTCCAGTGCCACTCAGGAGAATCATATCTTCACATCAGTTTTTATGTTTTTCTTTTTCTTTTCTTTTCTTTTTTTAAAAATAAAGATGGCATGCCTGTAATCCCAGCACTTTGGGAGGCTGAGGCGGGCGGATAACCTGAGGTCGGGAGTTCGAGACCAGCCTGGCCAACATGGTGAAACCCTGTCTCTACTAAAAATTTAAAAATTAGCCGAACGCTGGTGTCTCACGCCTGTAATCCCAGCTACTTGGGAGACTGAGGCACGAGAATCGCTTGAACCTGGGAGGCGGAGGTTGCAGTGAGCCGAGATTGTGCCACTGCACTCCATCCTGGCGACAGAGTGAAGATTCTGTCTCAAAAAAAAAAAAAAAAAAAAGGAGAGAGAGAGAGACGGGATCTCGCTATGTTACCCAGGCTGGTCTTGAACTTCTAGGCTCAAGCAATCCTCCTGCCTCGGTCTCCTACAGTGTTGAGATTACAGGTGTGAGCCATTGTTCCAAAAATTGATATACTTGGCCTCACATCAATTTTTGGAACAATGCAGGTAATAATGAGGGGGAAAAAATTTTAAAAGTCCCAATTACCCTTTAAACAAATATTACCTCCTCCAAAAAATATTTTTCTAGATTCCTGAATGTATTTTTTGGTGGAGGAGGAACTCAAAGTAGAATTCATTTACATATTCATTCATTCATTCCACAGCACTAATCACTCCATGCAGTAACTGTGTGTCCCCGTCCCTCTCAGACTTAGTACCTGGAAGACAGCCAACCTGTCTTAATTCTATTGGTATCCCCAGGGCGCATTTCTTTGCCTTGAAAATTGAGTACCCAATAAATGTGCGTCGAGCAGAACTACACGAGATGGAGAACAGGGGTTTAGGGGTATGGGGGAGAGTCAGCAATTACTGGTGTCCTCCCTCCCTCCCCCAGCTCTGCTCCTACAGATCCAGGACGCCTAGCGAGGGTAGGAACCTCTTCTGTGCTTCCGCAACGCTCTGAACTGCACGGCACTGAGCGCATCTAATTAAAGTGATGGTTTCATTAGATAGCAACACAGCGAGACCCCGTTTCTACAAAAAATAAAAATAAAAAATAAAAGATTAGCTGGGCGTGGTTGCTCGCGCCTCTAGTCCCAGCTACTTGGGTGGAGGCTGAGGAAGAAGGATCGCTTGAGCCTAAGAGTTCGAGGTTGCTGTGAGCTATGATCGCGCCACTGGACTCCAGCCTGGGCGACAGAGCAAGATCCTCTGTCTAAAATAAAAATAAAAATAAAATGATGGTTTAATCGCCGGCCTTTGCCCCTTCTGCCCCCCACCCCCCACAAGTCTGTAGGACTGGGTTGACTTCCCAGAGCTTACTACAGATTAGATGCTAAATAAATGTCTATTGGACGGATGCGCGAATGAATGGATGGATGGAGGATGTGGTTGTGCTTACCACGCTCCCTGGTCAGTGGGTTAATGTCGTCAGGCGGGGCCAGGCTCGCTAACAGCCGGGCGGGGTCCCTTCCCCCGGGCCCCGCCCCGGCCGACCCCACCTTTCCGCGCGGCTCCGCCCCGCCGCCCCCTTGCCAGTGGCCCCTCCCCGCGCAGGTCCCGACTCCAGCCGCACCTCCTCCGGCTCTGCAGTGGCGGCGAGGAGGCGAGCCGGAGCGACGGCGGGGCTGGGGCCGGAGCCGAGCCGGGGTCGGGCAGCAGCAGGGACCCCCCAGAGGCGGGGCCTGTGGGACCGCTATGGGCGTGGAGATCGAGACCATCTCCCCCGGAGACGGTACCGGGCTCCCTCCGGAGCCAGGGGAGGGGAGGGGTCCCGGGGCGGAGCCCGGAGGGCGGGGGTCTGATTCGGAGGTGGCGTGGAGGGTGCTGAAGGGTCGGGGGGCTGGATGGGGAAGGCAGGCGGAGACGCCGGACGGGATTCTTGGGGGTCTAGGAGACCATCCTCCGCCATCCTCTTCCGCGCTCACCTAGGGGAATGTAGGCGGCAGCTCGGAGGCGGGGGTCTGCGGCCCGGAGGCGGGGGTCTGCGGCCCGCCACCGCCCCGGGCTTCTCCTGTCGCGGCTGCAGTCGTTCGGTTATCCGCTGCTGCTGATACCCCAGCCTGGGTTTCGGCTTCGCTTTCCCTGCCCTACTCGGCGAGCTCTGGAAAGCAGGACCTGCTCTCGGATACCCGCTGCTCGGGGACCTCCTCCTAGCGCGTCCCCCGCCGGGCCTCCCCTCGGTCGCTTCCCTGCGGGCCGGGCTGTGAGCGGCTGTGGGGACAGACCCAGGCTGGGGAAGGGGGAAGCGCTCCCTTGCCCGCTTCCGGATCTCGCTTTATCCTGCCGCCGCTTTCAGACTCCCTGGCCACCCTGTCCACTCCCATGGCCTCCACATTGAAGCTTCTAAGCCCAGCCCTGCGACCTACGGCCGAACCTCTCCCTGGACGTCCCAGGGTGCTCCCTGGTCAGCAAGTCCAAAACAGAACTCTCGCTTCCCACCTTCTCTCCTAAGTGATCCTCTTTATCCCCCTTCCGTGTCTCACTTTCCCAAGTCCTTGTATTACTGGGTCTGGGTGTGCAAGGAATAGCCATTTCTTTATTTCTTGAAATTTAATTAATACCAAAGCCCCCATTGTCTGCAGGGTTTGATGGGCAAACTTCATATCAGATATTATTAATATGAACAGCTCCCCTCCCCAGGAAATTGGATAACTTCTTGGCTCCAGGCCATCTTCCTTGTCCAATCCCAGCCACTACTTCAGATATCCCCTGGAGTACAGGCTTCTTTGCCCACGCAGGAAACATTGCTGCTGGGTCCCAGAAAGCATCTCCCTGAGGCCTTTTCATCCCTCAGCAGCCCCTGAGCTAATCTCCCCATCTTCAGTCTCTCCTCCCTGCTTTCAATCTCGTCCCCAATCTCATATTCACTCCCTTTCTATATCATAGCCTGAAGACTCTTCTTAAAATGCAGTGGCTCACGCCTGTAATCCCAGCACTTTGGGAGGCTGAGGCGGGCGGATCACAAGGTCAGGAGTTCGAGACCAGCCTGACCAACATGTTGAAACCCCGTCTCTACTAAAAATACAAAAATTAGCTGGGCATGGTGGTACGCACCTGTAATCCCAGCTACTCGGGAGGCTGGGGCAGGAGAATCACTTGACCCTGGGAGCCAGAGGTTGCAGTGAGCTGAGATTGTGCCATTGCACTCCAGCCTGGGTGACAGAGCAAGACTCTATCTCAAAAAAAAAAAAGAAAAAAAATGCATGTTTGACTATGCCCCTCCCTCAGGCAGAAGATGTTTTAATGATTCTTCCCTCTCCCCCAGGAGGGGCCTTTGGTGCTATGGTCTATTCTCATCTTCCACACTAGAGCTTCATCTCTCACCACCTGTCCTAAGCCCACCACTAACTTTTTCCTCCAGCTTTCCCAAGCTGCCTGCAAGTTGTCAAACACACCACTCGTTCAGCAAATATTTATTGAACGTGTGTGCTAGGCCCTAAGGTGACACAGTTGAAACAGACAGGGTTCCCGCTATTGCTGGACTGAGGGCCTTTGAACATGTTACATGTTGTTCCCTCTTCCCAGATGGTGTTTTTTCACTTCCTCTGGCAAACTCTTACTTGTCTTTCAAGACCTGGCTTCACCATTCTCTCCTCTATGATGTTTTCCTTGACTTCTGTGGTCAGTTAGCTGCTCCCTCCTCCAGGATCCCATAGAGTCCTCTAAATATCGGCTCTGTGGTTAGGCTTCCTTAGGCTTTGTATCCAGCCCCGTAGCTTTAAATTCCAGCCAAATTTATACCTCCAGTGCAGACTCTTCATCTGCCTACTTGCAATATAAACTCAGATGTCTAATAGGCATCTCAAGATTGCCACCCGCACAAATCTGTTCCTCCCGTCTTCCCTATCTCAGGAAATAGTTGCACTATTCATCCAGTTGCCCAAACAGAAAACCCAAGCATCGTTCTTGTTGTCTCCTTTGTCCTCATCCTGGACCCCATTTCCAGTCTGATTGCATGACCTGTCAGCTCCGCTTCGAAAATATGTCTCCAATCTTTCACTCTCTTCTCTGCTGCCACCACCTTAAATCAAGCTATCATTGATTTCTTGTCTGGATTATTGCAACAGACGCCTAACCGTCCATCCTACACATAGCAGCCAGAGTGATGTTATAAAATCTTAATTCAGATTATGTCATTCTCTGGCTTAAAACCCTCCAGTGGTTTCCTATTGCACTTAGTATTAAATCCGGCTCTTCAAGCCCTGCATGATCCATGTCCTTCCCACCTCTCTCCTCCCTCCCTTCTTTCCAGCACCTAGCCTCCTTGCTCACTGCAAATGTGTTGATTCTGTGCACTTGTTACTCCTTTCCCAAGTGCTATTTCCCAGTATTTTGCTCATCCTTCAAGTCCCAGCTCCAGGGGGCACCTTCTCCAAGAGGCCATCCTGGACCACTCTGTCTGAAATGGCCTGTCCCACTGCATCTCCCTTTAATACATCATTGTGTGTATTTTCTTTAGAGTATTCATCATAATCCATAATCATTTTGTATATTTAAGTATTGTCTCTGTCCATTAGAATATAAACTCCAGGGCGGGTTTGGTGGCTCATGCCTATAATCTCAGCACTTTGGGAGGTTGAGGTGGGAGAATCTCTTGAGCTCAGGAGTTCAAGGCCAACCTGGACAACATGTTAAGACCCTGTCTCTACAAATTTTTTTTAAAAAAATTAGCTGGGCATGGCAGCATGCACTTGCAGTACTAGCTACTCAGAAGGCAGAGGAAGAAAGATTGCTTGAGCCCAGGAAAGGTCAAGGCTGCACAGAGCCGAGATCATGCTGTTGCACTCCAGCCTGGGTGACACACTGAGACCCCTACTCTTAAAAAAAAAAAGTAAACTCTAAAAGAACAGGGATAGAGATCTTGTTTGTAGTGTTCACTGCTGTATCCCTGTGATCAGGCACAGGCTTGGCACACCATAGGTACTCAGTAAATATTTGTGGTTTTGTTTTGTTTTGTTTTGTCTGTTTGTTTATTGTGACAGGGTCTTGCTCTGTCACCCAGGGTAGAGTGCAGTAGCATGAACACAGCTCACTGCAGCCTTGACCTCCTGGGCTCAAACAATCCTTCCACTTCAGCTTCTTCAGTAGCTGGGACTATAGGTATGCGGCACCACACCCAGCTAATTGAAAAGATTTTTTTTTTTTTTTTTTTTTTTTAGAGATGGGGTCTCCCTATGTTACCCAGGGTGATCTAGAACTCCTGAGCTCAAGTGATCCTCCCACCTCAGCCTCCCAAAGTGCTGAGATTACAGATGTGAGCCACCATGCCTGGCCTCTCAGCAAATATTTGTAAATTATTGTGTTTATTCATCTTTGATGGATGGATTATAATCTGCATTGTAATCTGGTATTTGTGTGTCTGTTTCCCTACCTTCCTCATGAGTTCATACATTGCTCTGCATGTCTGAAGTCTGGTCCAGGCCTGGCACATAGGAGGCCAACTGTAAATGTCTGTGGAATGGATGATGTGAAGTAAAAGGGGCAATCAAAGAAAGTGGGGGTGGGGTGGTGGGAAAGCCCAGGAGACAGCAGAATTGAGAAAATTGAGGGGGTAAAGTAAATCCAGGCCAGAGAGGTGACGTGATTCATTCTGGCTCGTACAGGGCCCAGAGCCAGAACTAGGGCCACAGGCATCTCCATGGCATGGAGGGGAATGCAGGCTGGAGCTCTTGGTCAGGATCATACTTAATGTCCCAGGTGTTTTTCCAATATCCTACTCCTTCATCTGCCCTCATGTCTCCCTGCAGGAAGGACATTCCCCAAGAAGGGCCAAACGTGTGTGGTGCACTACACAGGTAAGTCTCACCCCCTCAGCCCCCACCCAGTCCTTCCCCTCCCAAGGCAGGGCTGTCCTCTGAGCTTCTCTCCAGAGGTGCCTGCCTCTGGATCAGGGCTAAAGCCCAAGGCAGCAGGGTCTCCCTGTGACCAGCCATCCTCTACTCCTCCCAGCCAGTCTAGTGGGAATGATAAAGGAGGCTTGGAAGGCCAACTCTTTCCCTCTTCTACCAGCAAGGGCCATCCATGGTGCCAGCTTCTAGGTGAGTCAAACACCTTCAGTCCCCTTCCTTCTGTTGCAGGTATGGTGGAGCCCCTGTCCCTGCTGGGTCTGTCTGATATTTGGAAATCCCTCCTAGAGCTCCCCGCAGACTTTCTCTCCATCCTGCAGTATCATTAGAGAAGAAGAGGAGGGGAGAGGACAGACAAGTCACCCAGAGGCTCCGATGCCATTTGAGGGGTGGGGTGATGGCAGTGCTTTTCTCTGGGTACTGAGGGAGCCCAGAGCGGGACTGATCCCAGTTGGATGCTCTTTATCTGCAGGCGAGGTAGAGTGAGTTCTTCAGGACTGCTGGCAGGAAGATCATGAGCAGGTGTTTGTTCCAAGGGAGGTGAGCACCCTGCCTTGTGACCTGCTTCCTAAAGTGGCAAACTCGATGACAGCCACTTAGCAGACAGCAAGCCCAGGTTAATTCCTAGGACATACTCGGATGGGGCCATTTTTAGCAGTTCTGTGGGCCAGTGTGAAGCACAAGGTTAATTCTAGGCAGATGGTGTGGATGTTTTCAGCAGTTGTGTTGCTGGTCGCTGATGTCAGTGGGCTGGACCATGTTTTATCTCCTGGTGATGTGGCCTAATTACCATGGGTCGTCTGGGGCCTCTGACCTGTGTAATTGATTTAACAATTTTGCATGTTGTAGACAGACCAGTATTTATCAAGTTACTGAAACCACAACATCCTTTTGCAAAGTCCTTTCACAATACATACATAGGGCAGCAGCTCCTGTCTTGGGAGAGACTATGTCTTATCAAACATAGCGGGAGACTATGGGACTTTTGGTAAACTTTAAAGTTAAATATAAATATAGTAGAGAACATAATGTAAGATGTCTAGGTCAATGAATTTTTTCAAAGTGATCACATTTATGTGACTACCACCTAGAGAAGCATAGAACATACAAGCATAGAACCAGCATCCCCAAAAGTCCCCCTGATGCCTTCTCCCAGTCATTTCACCTCCCTAGAGGTAGCTATCATTGTTTTTCTTTTTTTTTTTTTTTTTGTCATTGTTGTTGTTGTTTTGAGACAGGGTCTCACTCTGTGACTCAGGCTGAGTGCAGTGGTGATCACAGCTCATTGCAGCCTCGACCTCTCGGGCTCAAGTGACCCTCCTGCTTCAGTGTCCTGACTAGCTGGGACCACAGACATGAGCCACCATGCCTGGCTAATTTTAATTTTTTGTAGAGATGAGGGTCTCACTATGTTGCCCGGGCTGGTCTCGAACGCCTGTATGCAAGTGATCCTTCCACCTTGGCCTCCTAGTGCTGGGATTACAGGTGTGAGCCACTGTGCCTGGCTGGCAACTATTACTCTGACTTTTGTCTCCATGGATTGGTTTTGCCTATTTTTGAACTTCATCTTAATGGAACCACAGCGTAGGTACTCTTTTGTGTTTGGCTTATTTCACTCACTATTATGTCTGCGAGATATATCCAGAATGGTTTATTCCTCTACAGTATTTTAACGTACAAGTATGTTGCAATTTATGTATCCTCTCTACCGTTGATGAACATTTGGGTTGTTCATAGTTTTTGTTTATTACAAACAGTGTCACTTTGATCAGTCTTGCAGGCATCTCTTAGTGTACATGTGTACAGACATATGTGCATGTTTCTGTTGGGTATATACCTGGAAGTGGGGTACCTCCTGGGCTCAGCGTTAGCAGTACTGTCTGACAGCTTTCCAAAGTCGTTGTGCCAGTTTCCACTCTAGGCAGCTGTGTAGGAGACTGCCAGTTACCCTGTGTCCTCCCCAACACTTGTTATTGTCAGGTTTTGGTTTTGTTTTGTTTTTTCTTTTTTTGAGACAGAGTCTATGTTGCCCAGGCTGGAGAGAAATGGCATGATCTTGGCTCACTGCAACCTCTGCCTCCTGGGTTCAAGCGATTCTCCTGCCTTAGCCTCCCGAGTAGCTGGGATTACAGGCGCCCGCCACCATGCCTGGCTAATTTTTGTGTTTCTAGTAGAGACGGTGTTTCACCATATTGGCCAGGCTGATCTCAAACTCCTGACCTCAGGTGATCTGCCTGCCTCGGCCTCTCAAAGTGCTGGGATTACAGGAATGAGCCACCACACCAGGCTTTGTTTTGGTTTTGGCCTACTCTGGTGAGCGTTCAGTACCATTTCATTGTGGGTTTTTTTGTTTTTTTTTTTTGAGACAAGGTCTCACTCTGTTGCCAAGGCTGGAGTGCAGTGGTGCGATCTTGGCTCACTGCAACCCCGCCTCCTGGGTTCAAGCGATTCTTGTGCCTCAACCTCCCAAGTAGCTGGGATTACAGGTGCGCACCACCACACCCAGCTAATTTTTGTATTTTTTGTAGAGATGGGATTTCACCATGTTGGCCAGGCTGGTCACTGTGGTTTTGATTTGTGTTTCCCTGATGATGAATGAAGTTGAGCACCTTTTCATGTGCCTACTGGCCATTTGGATATCCTCTTTAGACTGCTCTAATTTTGTCCATTTTAGAAAATTAGGTTGTCTTTTTCTTTTTCTTTTTTTGAGACAGAGTTTCACTCTTGTTGCTCAGGCTGGAGTGCAATGGCGCAATCTTCACTCCCTGCAACCTACACTTCCCGGGTTCAAGTGATTCTCCTGCCTCAGCCTCCTGAGTAGCTGGGATTACAGGTGTGTGCCACCGTGCCCGGCTAATTTTGAGGTTTTTAGTAGAGACAGGGTTTCGCCATGTTGGCCAGGCTGGTCTCAAACTCCTGACCTCAGGTGATCCACCTGCCTCGGCCTCCCAGAGTACTGGGATTACAGGTGTAAGCCATGGTGCCCGGCCGGTTGTCTTTTTCTTGTTGATTTATAGGAGTTTTGTATATGTTTTGGATATGAGTCTTTTGTTGGTTATATCTATCCCAAACATCTTCTCCCACACTATGGCTTGCCTTTTTACTCTCTTAATAGTATATTTTGAACAGAAGTTCTTTTTTTATAGTTTATATTTTCTTCTTTTCTTTCTTTTTAAAATTTTTTTCTTTCTTTTTTATTTTTGAGATAGGATCTCACTCTGTTACCCAGGCTGGAGTTCAGTGGCTCTAGTCTTCAGGGATCATGGCTCACTGCAGCCTTGACCTCCTGGGTTCAAGGACTCCTCCCATGTCAGCCTCCCAAGTAGCTGGGAGTACAGGAACATGCTACCATGCCTGGCTAATTTTTTTTTGGTTTTTTTTTGTGTGTGTGTGATGGAGTTTTGCTATCGTTGCCCAGGCTGGAGTGCAATGGCACGATTTCAGCTCACCACAACCTCTGCCTCCCAGGTTCAAGCAATTCTCCTGCCTCAGTCTTCCGAGTAGCTGGGATTTCAGGCATGCGCCACCACGCCTGGACAATTTTGTATTTTTAGTAGAGACTGGGTTTCTCCATGTTGGTCAGGCTGGTCTCGAACTCCCTACCTCAGGTGATCTGCTCGCCTCGGCCTCCCAAAGTGCTGGGATTACAGGCGTGAGCCACCGGGCCCGGCCACCTGGCTAATTTTTAGTTTTTCTGTAGAGAGGAAGGTCTCCCTATGTTGCCCAGGATGGTCTCAAACTCCTGGGCTCAAGTGATCCTCCTACCTTGGCCTCCCAAAGTGCTAGTATTACAGGTGTGAGCCACTGTACCTGGCCTGAACAGAAGTTCCTAATTTTGATGAAGTCTGACTTATCAATCTTTCCCTTTATGGTTAGTGCTTTCTGTGTTCAGTTTAAGAAATCTTTGTCTGTCAGGCCAGGTGCGGTGGCTCCTGCCTATAATCCCAGCACTTTGGGAGGCCAAGGCAGGTGGATCACCTGAGGTCAGGAGTTCGAGACCAGCCTTGCCAACATGGTGAAACCCTGTCTCTACTAAAAATACAAAAATTAGCCAGGCATGGTGGTGCATGCCTGTAATCCCAGCTACTCGGGAGGCTGAGACAGGAGAATTACTTGAACAACCCAGGAGGCGGAGGTTGCAGTGAGCTGAGATTGAGCCGCTGCACTCCAGCCTGGGTGACAGAGATGAGACTCTGTCTCAGGAAAAAAAAAAAAAAAATTGTCTCTAGGTCATGAAGATATCCTTCTATTTGTTATCTTGTAGAAGCTTTATTATTCTATCTTTCATATTTAGGTTTATGATTCATCTGGAATTGATTTTTTTGTGTGTGGATTTGGTAGGGGTTAAAGTTCATTTTTTCCCCATATGAATATACTGTTGACTCAACAACCTTAATGCAAGAAAAAAAAACCTTTATTTGCTGCATTGCAGTGGTATCTTTGTCCAATCAAATCACCATGTAAGTGGGTCTGTTTCTAGACTGCATGGTTTTGGCTTAACTTGTAGCAATAGATAAATGAAGTTATTTATCCAAAGTAGATTAAGTCACATGAAACCTGAAGAAACTAAGGAATGAGAAAGGAAAGTCGGTATATAAATGGAGTGTGTGAATGTGTGCATGTGTGTTTGCATATCTGTGTGCATATTTGTACAAGTATGTATCTGTGTGAATGTATGTAGATCTGTGTATGTAAATATTTTCTTAGCATCTATTTGGCCACCAGGGCTTTTCTCCTGAGTGTGAGTGCATAAGTGCATGTGAGCATGCACAAGTATCTTTGTGTATTTGAATATCTTAGCAACCTTAGCAAATGCATGCGATTGTATTTGATCTTGTTAGCATCCATCTGCATGTACCTCTGTGTAGCCAGAAGGGTTTTCTTCTTTGCCTCAGTTAGTACCCAGGGCAAAAGCTTAATGTATTCTACTCAGAAAGTAGTTAAATAAGACTGTTTCTCTAATATATATTTTAGTTGTAGGAATTAGGAAGTAGCATCATAGATGCTCCTACACTAAGCTGGCCCTGCTTCCTATGTTAAATATGACACATCTGAGGCCCTGGGAGAGGAAGTGATTTGCCCAGTCTCACACAATGAGTTAGAGCCAGAGTGAAGTCAAAACCCAGTCTCTGGATGTACAAGCAAGGTCTTTTTCTAGTCCCAAATGGCCTTTTGTGGTGGTCCAGGGACTGCCGGGAGCAGTCGTGGAACTGCATCATTTACAGAAGGTCTGATCTTTGAGTCAGAGTCACAGAAGAATTGAGAATAGCTGTTGGGCCTTGGGCTGCTGGACTGAGATGACATGTGGACATCAGGATGACAAGGCTTCTGAAGCAGAGGCTGGGGGAACCAGAACTGCTGGACCAGCACCTGGGGGGGGGTTCTGGTTTCAAACAGCCCTCTTAGTACAGAGTCTGGAGGCCACCTCTGACCAGCTAGGTCACCTTACACTGTTCCCTACAGTAGGGGATAATGTAACCTTTGGGTTTTCCCTTTTGGGGGAAACTTAGGAAACCTTAGGAACCTTATGCGAGGACTCAACCTGAGGCTGGAATAGCTGGGAAAACAGAACTTTAGGTGGAGGAAGTGGCATAAAAAAGTTGAAAAGTCTGGCTGGGCATGATAGCTCACACCTGTAATCCCAGCACTTTGGGAGGCTGAGGTGGGCAGATCACCTGAGGTCAGGAGTTCGAGACCAGCCTGGCCAACATAGCAAAACCCCATCTCTACTAAAAATATAAAAAAATTAGCAGGCATAGTGGCAGGTACCTGTAGTCCCAGCTACTCAGGAAGCTGAGGCAGGAGAATCCCTTGAACCCGGGAGGCGGAGGTTGCAGTGAACCGAGATCACACCACTGCACTCCAGCCTGGGCAACAGAGGGAGACTCCGACTCAAAAAAAAAAAAAAAAAAAAAAAAGTTGAAAAGTGCAGAGGAATTTGAGAAAGGTATGACCTGAAAAGGACACAGAGGGAAGGGAAGGAAGGGGAGAACAGAGAGGGTTATAAGCAGGCCAGAGCCGGATTGTGAAGTGCCTGTATGCAAGGTAGGCATTTGGATTCTGCTCTGGGGAGCTATTGAAGTATTTTGAGCAGGGGAGTAATAGAATCAGATTTGTGTTTAAAGAAAAAAAAAAATCAGTCTGGATGCCAAGTGGACAATGAAATGGAGGCGAGTAAAAGAGGATCAAAAAGACCAGTTAGGAGGTTGTTCCTGTGTACAGGTGAGATAAGCTGGTGACTTGGTCGTGGTAATAGAAACAAAGAAAAGGCCAGGCACAGTGGCTCATGCTTGTAATCCCAGCACTTTGGGAGGCCAAGGTGGGTGGATCACCTGCAGTTCAGGAGTTCAAGACCAGCCTAGCCAATATGGCAAAACCCTGTTTCTACTAAAAATACAAAAATCAGCTGAGTGTGGTGGTGGGCGCCTGTAATGCCAGCTACCTGGGAGGCTGAGGCAGAAGAATCGATTGAACCCAGGAGATGGAGGTTGCAGTGAGCCGAGATTGTGCCACTGCACTCCAGCCTGGGTGACAAATTGAGATTCTGTCTCAAATAAATAAATAAATAAATAAAAATAGAAATGAAGAAAATAGGTGGATTCCAAAGATATGGAGGACTTAGTGATAGGCAGTATGTGGGGGTGAGGCAGAAGGAAGTGTCCAGATTTCCTGCTTGGGCAACAGGATGGATGGGGAGGATCGGAAGAGGAGCAGGTGTGTGCAGAAAAGGCATTCCATTTTAGACATGTGGAATCTGAATTGGGAGTTTACTCATGACCACAGCTCTATTGCACCCGATTCTTGCTTTGACAGGAATGCTCCAAAATGGGAAGAAGTTTGATTCATCCAGAGACAGAAACAAACCTTTCAAGTTCAGAATTGGCAAACAGGAAGTCATCAAAGGTTTTGAAGAGGGTGCAGCCCAGGTAGGATGAGGATTCGCATTAAAGGGGATCTGGGGAGTTGGGGATCTGGGATCAGCACTCTGCCCTCCACCTCCACCTTCACCCACTCACAGACCACTACTGCTTTGACTCTACAGCCAGGGCATGGCAACGCCATCTGGTGTCCCCTCCTGGCTTTGCGTCCCCACCCCTCTCCTTGCCAGCATACCTCTTTTGTGTCCCTGGGGGCTCTCATCCCAAGCACATCCCCCTAGGCTTGCTCAGAACTAGCTGAGAGAGCCAGGCACGGTGGCTCACACCTGTAATCCCAGCACTTTGGGAGGCCGAATGGGGTGGATCAGTTGAGGCCAGGAGTTCAAGACTAGCCTCACCAACATGGTGTAACCCCGTCCCTGCTGAAAATACAGGCGTGGTGGTGCATGCCTGTAATCCCAGCTACTTGGGAGGCTGCGACAGGAGAATTACTTGAACCGGGGAGGTGAAGGTTGCAGTGAGCAGAGATTGTGCCACTGTACTCCAGCCCAGGCGATGGAGTGAGACTGTCTCAAAAAAACAAAACAAAAAAATAAACTAGCTGAGGTCTACCAGTTGCCTGGGACTGAGGTAGTGGAAGAGTTGGGGTGGAGTAGGCCAAGAAAATTTTTCGTTTTTTCGCTTTTTTGAAAAGAATTTCAGAATTACAAAAATATTAAAGAAATAGTACAGAGTTCTTCTATATTCTATCCAGCTTCCCCTTCTTGCATAACCATAGTACAATTATCAAAACCAGGACATTCACACTGATACAAATTACTTACTTATTCAAATTTTTGATTATTCAAAATTCAAAAGTAGATTTAAATTTCACCAATTGTCCCACTAATGCTGAGTGGGTTCTCAACAACTGCTGTGATGAGCCCTGGTTCAAGCTGTTCTTTCTTGGTCTGTCTGTGAAGTCCTATGATGCTCCCTTACGATAGGTCTTGTTTTTGGTGTTTTTTTTTAGAAAGAGTATCACTCTGTCACCAAGGCTGGACTGCAGTGGCGCAATCTTGGCTCACTGCAAGCTCCGCGTCCTGGGTTCACGCCATTCTTCTGCCTCAGCCTCCCTAGTAGCTGGGACTACAGGCGCCCGCCACCACGGCCGGCTAATTTTTTTGTATTTTTAGTAGAGACGGGGTTTCACCGTTGTTAGCCAAGATGGTCTCGGTCTCCTGACCTCGTGATCTGCCCGCCTCAGCCTCCCAAAGTGGTGCGAGCCACCGTGCCCGGCCTGTTTTTTGTTTTTTATTTATTTATTTATTTTGAGACGTAGTCTCACTCTGTTGCCCAGGCTAGAGTGCAGTGGCACAATCTCAGCTCACTGCAACCTCCTCCTCCCAGGTTCAAGCAATTTTCCTGCCCCAGCCTCCCGAGTAGCTGAGATTACAGGTGTGCACCATCACCATCACGCCTGGCTAATTTTTGTATTTTTAGTACAGACGGGGTCTCACCATGTTTGCCAGGCTGCTCTCGAACTCCTGACCTCAGGTGATCCACCTGCCTCGGCCTCCCAAAGTGCTGAGATTACAGGTGTGAGCCACCACGCCCGGACTTTTTGTATTTTTTAGTAGAGACAGGGTTTTGCCATATTAGCCAGGCTGGTCTTGAACTTCTGGACTCAAGTGATCTGCCCACCTTGGCTTCCCAAAAGTGCTGGGATTACAGGTGTGAGCCACCACGGTTGGCCACAATAGGTCCCCCTTGCCACCTTGCTGGTGACTCTAGTCTCTAAACCACTTTAAATAACTGCCCCTGTCACCTACTTGAGTATTTACGTGTGCTATTCATACACCCTCTTTTCCTAAAGAGGCCTATTCTTTGGAAGAGGGTGAACTATGAACAAATGGAAGTGTTTCAGTCATACACAAATTGAATAACCAGTAATGTTTGTCAGATGCATGAATTTGAGACCACTCTGTGAGGGTTACTGCCCCACAGTCACATCTCTGCTGAGGCAGAATCTGCGTTTGTTAAAGCTGTTAGCACGATTTCAATGTATCCCATGTAAAATTCATCTGAGATCTTCAGAGTTAACATTGAGGATGGTTTGGGAAAATGCCATAGTCATCTAACTTTTTTCTTTTAAATCAAGCTGGGTCCTCTTTCTCCTCTCCCCATCTGCCCCCATCCCTGCTAGATGAGCTTGGGGCAGAGGGCGAAGCTGACCTGCACCCCTGATGTGGCATATGGAGCCACGGGCCACCCCGGTGTCATCCCTCCCAATGCCACCCTCATCTTTGACGTGGAGCTGCTCAACTTAGAGTGAAGGCAGGAAGGAACTCAAGGTGGCTGGAGATGGCTGCTGCTCACCCTCCTAGCCTGCTCTGCCACTGGGACGGCTCCTGCTTTTGGGGCTCTTGATCAGTGTGCTAACCTCACTGCCTCATGGCATCATCCATTCTCTCTGCCCAAGTTGCTCTGTATGTGTTCGTCAGTGTTCATGCGAATTCTTGCTTGAGGAAACTTCGGTTGCAGATTGAAGCATTTCAGGTTGTGCATTTTGTGTGATGCATGTAGTAGCCTTTCCTGATGACAGAACACAGATCTCTTGTTCGCACAATCTACACTGCCTTACCTTCACTTAAACCACACACACAAGGTGCTCAGACATGAAATGTACATGGCGTACCGTACACAGAGGGACTTGAGCCAGTTACCTTTGCTGTCACTTTCTCTCTTATAAATTCTGTTAGCTGCTCACTTAAACAATGTCCTCTTTGAGAAAATGTAAAATAAAGGCTCTGTGCTTGACAAACTCCTGTCCATCCTTATTTTAGGTAGGAAGTGCTCTAAGGACCACACAAGCCAGGTGCCCTTGGGAAAGAGTGGAAAGAAAGGAGGGTTCCAAGTGGCTAGGTGAGTGATAAATATAATAGCTACAATGTGAGCATTTTACATGCTGGGCCTTGTTCTACATACTTTTTTATTTTATTTATTTATTTATTTATTTGAGATGGAGTCTCGCTCTGTCACTCAGGCTGGAATGCAGTGGCACAATCTTGGCTCACTGCAACCTCCGCCTCCTGGGTTCAAACGATTGTCATGCTCACCAGCACGCCTGGCTAATTTTTGTATTTTTAGTAGAGACAGGGTTTTGTCATATTGGCCAGGCTGGTCTCAAAACTCCTGACCTCAACTGATCTACCTGCCTTGGCCTCTCAAAGTGATGGGATTACAGGTGTGAGCCACTGTGCCTGGCTATATACTTTTAAATTATTACCATTGATCCTCTAAGCAACCCTGCACAGTAGATATTACCTGCCGCTCATCTCAGGCTCAGAATCCTCCTCTGCATAACTAAAGAAATATAGGCTCCAAATCTTGTAGCCTAGCAATCAGATGTGGGACTTGAGCACCTTATGTGCTCTTGCAATCTTTGTTTGGACTACAGCCAGAGGGATGAGCTCCACTCACCCAGATGGATACAGAACACTTTTTGTGTCTAAACAAATGAAGGTGTGTTAAGGGCTTGAAGTCGTACACTAACTCACATTGGGAAGTTCCTTGTGAAAAGAGTGTGTGATTCTGAGCTTGTTTTCACATACACTGCTTAGTTTCACCTAGATTTGTTCTGACTTACATTGAGGAATTACTTTTGAGAAGAATGTATGATTCTGAACTTGTTTCCACATATAGTGCTTATTTCATCAACATTTATTGTAACTAACCAGAAACACCAGTTAGGTTTTAAAATCAGCACACTTATTGGTGTAGGTTATATATAGGCCATAGGAGACTGAGGCAATATACTCAAACATTTTTCTTTTTTTTCTTTCTTTTTTTGAGACGGAGTCTCACTCTGTTGCCCAGGCTGAAGTGCAGTGGCATGATCTCGGCTCACTGCAAGCTCTGCCTCCCGGGTTCACACCATTCTTCTGCCTCAGCCTCCCGAGTAGCTGGGACTACAGGTGCCCACCACCACACCTGGCTAATTTTTTGTATTTTTAGTAGAGACGGAGTTTCACCATGTTAGCCAGGATGGTCTCAATCTCCTGACCTTATGATCCGCCTGCCTCGGCCTCCCAAAATGCTAGCATTACAGGTGTGAGCCATCACGCCCAGCCTCAAACATTTTTCTTTCAGTTGGTATAGGATGAGAAAAACTCCTGGCCATAGTTGGGGTTATTCTTTTTTTTTTTTAATCATTTATTTATTATTTTTAAAAAATAGAGATGGGGGAATCTCACTATGTTGCCCAGGCTGGTCTCAAACTCCTGGCCTCAAGCTATCTTCTCTCAGCCTCCCAAAGTGTTGGGATTATGGGTTTAAATCACTGCACTCAGCCAATACGGTTTTCTATCAGTGACGACTTCGAATTGTTTCAAGATTGAGGACGGAGGGGCTGATAACAGGTACTGTTAGTGTTCCTCATAGACCCACTGATACATGTCACATGATGTCATATATATGCTATGAGGCCATGTCATCTTGGCTACATGATCTACCTTTTTTGTCTCCAAGAAATCCTGGCTGTATTCCTTTGCTGAGGGTGGAGGAGCTAATGAAGAAGCAGTGCTTTAGGATGGAGAAAACGAGAGAAAGGAACTGCCTTGCATTTTAGTCACCAAAGTCCCTGTGCTCACCTCTATTGTGAGACTAGACCAGCCAGAGGGTATTTCCTTCAGAATGTCTTGGTTCCTGGCTTTCTTTGATGACTCAAATGCCTACAATAATTTCTCAGAAGTCAGCCTGCATAAAAGACATACGCATATTTTCTGCTGTGACACCAATAAGATAACAAAAGATGGCATCAAGGACTATTTCAGGTGCCCACTATGGGGCATATAAAAGATATTGGTCTAGAGTATTTATAACTGAGGTGGGTCAAAGGAGACACCCACTAAAAGAACTCCCCCAAAGTGCAAACACATACTGGCTAGCACCTGGAGAGGACAGGTGAGGCTCTGCAGGTAAACTGGGAAATGAACCATTTTACTGGAGCTCTTAAAAGATGATGCAGAAAATCATGATGCAGTATGCTAATGAGTCTGGACATTGGCCTATGAGAGCCACTAAAGCTGTTAAACAGAAGAGCAATAATAAGATCAAGGTCACATCAGTTGTTTTCAGACTTTCAGTCAATGAATTCTCTATTCCTACGAATTTTTTTCTTAGAAACTCAAAAATTTAACCCAGATGAAAGTAAAGCAGCTCTGGCACATGTGTGTGCACATATAAACACAGTCATCTGTTGCACTCTTAAAAGCATTTGAAAAATTGAGCTTTGGATGCCTTGCACAGAGGACCGATCATAATTATATCCTCAGCATCTTCGTACAGTACTGTGTGCAGAGTGGGAGTCAGTGTTTGTCCACTGAGTGCAAGTTCTTGTAACTTAATTGCGACAGGATATGGAATTTCCAAACAATTAGAGGGAAGTTTTAAGTCTTAACTTTAGGTCATGAAATTCAGCTAACAGATATATCAATCCAAATGATGGACTGGTCATGACTGCTAATAGAAGGAATTTCTCCTTGTTATTAAAACAACTACACCAGAGGCAAGCTAGCCTGCCACTTAGACAAATCACACTCTAAGTTTTAAAGTCTAATTTCAGTTTTTCTCTTACAAGAAAGTCTTTTAGAAAATTCTTTTTACATTACCTAAAGGCACACCGTGCATTACAAAAACTAATAATGCATTCATAAAAGCATTCAAAAGAAAATTACAGCTGTAGCTCCTTTCTTATCTTCCCACCCTTAGAAATGACTCTACTCTCTTACACTGCTTTCAAAAAACACTCAGATATAATTAAAAGCAGAATTGATGCTCTTTGTACATTGAAGTGATTCAGTGTATGTACCTTCAAATTGATTTTAGGTTCCAATCACACACAAAACAATTAGTCCATGTTTTTCCATTTGGTCCATGCCTAAGCAATAAAAAGCAAATTACGGCTATATTCTCCCAAGCTGCCATGATGATGAATGGGGTAATAACCATACTGTTTCCATGTCATGGGAACTCATGATAATAAGAATGAGCATTAAGTATTTATGGCAAAGATATATTATGAGCTAAGGTCCAATATACCTACAGATACTTAATAACTAAAGGAAAAGTCTACATAAATACAATCTTAGACATGTAACAACCAACGCCACTACCCAAGCAGCTTGCTCTCAAATTTCTACCAATGTGACAATTATTATGTACCCATAATAATTAAAAAACAATTTAAAGAGGCAAATCTAAGTTTCTAACAATGTACTATCATCTAAATGACCATTTCTATAATAGACCTCTGTTCTAAAGACAAGGGTACCCATATTGACACAGGTGTTTTGTTAACTATAAAGCAAGCATTATTCAAATGTAAAGGCTTGGTTAATAACTGGTTGTTATCACACCAGCTTTGTATGTTAGCATTTTATTCATTCAACCAACATCATGAACTTTGGTTTCCTCACCTGCAAAATGCAAATACCTATCTTCACTGAGTTGTTATGAAGATTTCATTATTAATGGACATGCAATAAACAGCAAGTTCCTTTGATGGCTAAGCACTGCACCGGGCCCTGGAGGCATTAAGAATGTAAAGAGATCCTGTTCTCAAGAAACTCAGAATCCCTAGGAGCACCTACAATTCTTGATAAGCTTCAACTGTTTTTTCCTGGTATCAAACAGGAAGGGAAAGTTCAAGAGAAAAGACTGAGGTGTTTCACAAAAAGCTACAAGTTTATTAACATAATGTATTCCAATATGTATCAAAGTTTCAAGCAGGTCATTTTGAACCTCAAATAAGAAATCACAATATTTAGTATTAATTAAAAAGGAAAAAAAGGTGGTAGTTGTCATTCGTGGGATTTAGTCCAAATGAAAATGTAGAAAACATTTATTTTGGTGGATCTGTGTTGATGCCATATTTCTCCTTGAGAAGCTTCAACTGTTCCTCCTTCTTCTTTGTGTCCATCTTCTGAAATGCCTGGAAATGTGGTAAGCACCAAAATTAAATTACCAATCTACAGCCAAATGAATTTCATCAATAGCATTAGCCAAAAAAGAAAGTCATAGTAGACATATATCATCACAGTACAGTTCTACACTAATTCTCTTGAGACGGAGTCTCTCTGTTGCCCAGGCTGGAGTGCAGTGGCGTGATCTTGGCTCACTGCAGGCTCCACCCCCTGGGGTTCACGCCATTCTCCTGCCTCAGCCTCCCGAGTAGCTGGGACTACAGGCGCCCGCCACCACGCCCGGCTAATTTTTTGTATTTTTAGTACAGACGGGGTTTCACCGTGTTAGCCAGGATGGTCTCGATCTCCTGACCTCGTGATCCGCCCACCTCGGCCTCCCAAAATGCTGGGATTACAGGCATGAGCCACCGCGCCCGGCCAGTTCTACACTAATTCTCAAATGAGATCACTACACAATGAGAACTTTGCTATACTTACCCTGTTGGCATTATAGTACAAAACCACAAGGTATCTGTTACAAACATTGAATCCCGATAGGTGATCACATGCATTCTTGGCATCAAAGATGTCCTCATAGACCACATAAGCTGTTCCTCTAGTTTCAGGTGTGTTCCCCCTGGAGAGGTAAGTTAAACTTAATTAAGATATACATTTACCTGAGCATTGATAGTTGACTTACAGAACTGTCTTTTAAACTGGTAACTGTCTTTTAAAAACAGTAAATTGAAATACGTTTTTAGTTAAGTATTTTGAAATCAACCTGAAACCATCAGAGGAAATAAACATGGATAGATATACCGGATAAGCCTGTAATTTCTTGAATTAGGTAATTTTGTTCTTCGTTTTTATCTTAACTAAAATATCCATAGGTCAAGCTGACTGTCACATCAGGAATACTAAGAACACAGCTACTACACAGAACAGCCTCGTGAGTTGTGGGGACTACAGGTGCTCTTGCCACCCTGACTGGCTCTACGTTGTCTTTGTTTTGTTTTGTTTTTGTTTTTGTTTTTGTTTTTTTGAGATAGACTCTCACTCTGTTGCCTAGGCTGGAGTGCAGTGGCACAATCTCAGCTCATTGCAACCTCTGCCTCTCAAGTTCAAGTGATTCTTGTGTCTCAGCCTCCCAAGTAGCTGGGACTGGAGGCATGTGCCACCATGCCCAGCTAATTTTTGTATTTTTAGTAGAGACAGGGTTTCATCATGTTCCCCAGGCTGGTCTTAAACTCCTGACTTCAAGTGATCCGCCTGCCTCAGCCTCCCAAGGTGTTGGAATTACAGGCATGAGCCACCACACCCGGTCTACATTCATTTTTAATACAACTCAAGTGCTAATGCACGATACAGCTGTGTGGCTAGGGAGAAGGGCTAGGCTTCTGCAAAGATGGGAGTGGAAGTGTGCTTGTGGATAGGGTTATCAGTGAGCCAGGGCAGAATGCTGGAAGGTGGCTGGAAGTGGAAGCTAACCTTACTTATGGATACGAGGTTGCTGTTAGTGTAGTTATTCCTGGCCACTTCCTTCCTTCACCTCACCAACTTCCTCTGGGAGAGGTAGAGAAGTTTGAGGAGCAACGCAACGCTAAATTGCAGGCAGCAGGTGGCCATGTGACTGTTAGTGGAGACAATGGGTAGAGGTCCCACTCAGTTCAGGCTCTGGGTGACAAGATGGCCCCCTTGCCTCCATCTGTGTTCCAACCACCCAGTGCAACTGTGGAATGAGGTTTAAGACTGTGGGCTGACTCTCCATCTGCCACAGTCCTTACATAGGGTTGAATAAAAGCAGTGGAGCCATGGGAAGAGGAGGTACCTGCCTAGACTTGATCTAGGATAGGACTATAGTCTGGGCCCTGTTCAAGCTTGTGCTTCCTGTAAAATTGAAAAGGAATAGGGTACTGGGGGTGATTGGAGGGTGCCACTGTCAATGAATGCGCTCACTTTGTCAGGTTGTGTGGGCCTGACGAGGGGTTTTAGAATGTTCTTTAGGCTCTGGCAAGTCTTAACAACTTTCAGACTTTTGACTTCTAAAAACTTAATAAGATTTTCAGTTCCTTAAGAGCAAAGGTGATCTTATGCGTACTTCATTTATTCCTTTAGTGCCACGCATAAGGCAGACGCTAATACGCCTTTGAAAAGTGGAGATCTACTTTCTTCTATCAGTTCTCTCACACACACTTTGTTCAGGAAGCTCAAAACAAAACTAAACAAAGCAACTCTCTTTCTTCCTCTTATATCTTCTTAGGAACTAGAATAGGGATAGACACTAACCCCACTTTAAAGACTCTCCATCTTAAGTGTCCCAGCCCTAATTATCAACCTCACACCTTGAGAGCCATATTATAATTTGAACTTTTAAAAGCATGTATCTGTACCTACCACGTATTGGACACTGAGCTAACATTATTTTCTTATTTTTTTGAGACAGAGTCAACCAATTCTTGTGCAGGTGTGCGCCACCATGCCCGACTAATTTTTGTATTTTTAGTAGAGATGGGGTTTTGCCATGTTGGCCAGGCAGGTCTCGAACTCCTGGCCTCAAGTGATCCACCCACCTCAGCCTCCCAAAGTGCTACAATTTTCTTGACTGGCATTAAAATCTTAGAGTAGGAATAAGAACACCTAAGCGTGTAACTTAGCCTCTGTGAGCTTCGGATGCTTCATGTATCCAGTGCCATCAGGCTCTATCACGTGCCCTACCTTCCACGTGGGTTTAATAATCAAAAGAGGTAACAAGTATCAAAGAGTTTTAAAAAGTACAAAGTACCAAGTGCCTGCTACATGCCAGGTAGGGTCAAACCAAATCATCCTGATTTGACTGGGACTGTCCAGGTTTTAGCACTGAAAGTCCAGTGTCCCAGAAAATCTCTCAGTACTGGGCAAACTGGGAAGGTTGGTCACCCTAGTGCCAGGTGCCAGGTATACAATAAAGCATGATCACAGTAATGGAACAGAAAAACAGCTGTTTCTCAATCTATAATTTAGACCTAAGCTCCTGTACCCTAAACTTCTATTAACCTATTCAACACATAGACTATGTTCTTTCTGCGACAGGCACTAGAAATACAATAGTGAAAAAGATAAGCATCATCCCTTCCTTCAAGCTTATATTCAGGCAGTAGAAAGACATTAAATAAATATGAAATCATTATAAATCTTTTTTTTTTCTTTTTGAGACGGAGTCGCACTCTGTCGCCCAGGCTGGAGTACAGTGGCATGATCTTGGCTCACTGCAACCTCCACCTCCCGGGTTCAAGCGGCTCTCCTGCCTCAGCCTCCTGAGTAGCTGGGATTATAGGCATGCACCACCACGCCTGGCTAAGTTTTGTATTTTTAGTAGAGACGAGGTTTCACCATGTTGGTCAGGCTGTTCTCAAACTCCTGACCTTGTGATCTGCCCACTTCAGCCTTCCAAAGTGCTGGCATTACAGGCGTGAGCCACTGCGCCCAGCCCTGAAATAATTATAAATCTTAAGAAATGTTTCGGCTTGGCACGGTGGCTCATGCTTGTAATCCCAGCACTTTGGGAAGCCGAGGTGGGAGGATCACCTGAGGTCAGGAGTTCAAGACCAGCCTGGCCAACGTGGTGAAACCCCATCTCTACTAAAAATACAAAAATTAGCCAGGCATGCTGGTGGGTGCCTGTAATCTCAGCAACTCAGGAGGCTGAGGCTGGAGAACCACTTGAACCTGGGAGGCGGAGTTTGCAGTGAGCCGAGATCGTGCCATTGCACTCCAGCCTGGGCAACAAGAGCGAAACTCCATCTTAAAAAAAGAAATGTTTCATACAAGAAGTAGAAAGCTGTAACAGATAGGGAAACAGGGAGCTACTTCAGCTAGGGTGGTCAGGGAAAACCCCTCTGAAAAGGTGACACTGAAGCTGAGACCTGAAGAATGAGGAGGAGCCAGGCATGAGATGAGCTGGTGAAAACCATTCCAGATACAAGGAAAATAGAAGCACAAAGGTTCTGAGCTGCTCTGCACTCTTCTGAAGATGCCCCTGCTTTATTCCCTGTCCTTTCATTTTGGCTTTCTGAAACATTCTCTAACTTCACTGATTTTAAGCATCCCTTAATTGAGTACTATCAATAAATTTTATAATGCCCTAGTAAACCAATCACAACCACTTTTTATATTATTCTTCTATTTTCTTTTCTTTTGTTGAAACAGGATCTCACTCTGTCGCCCAGACTGGAGTGCAGTGGCATGATCTCGGCTCACTCACTGCAGCCTCAGCCTCCCAGGTTCAAGCGATTCTCCCACTTGAGCCTCCTGAGTAATTGCATTACAGGCGCGTGCCACCATGCCCAGCTAATTTTTGTATTTTTTTTTAGAGAGGGGGTTTCACCATTTGGCCAGGGTGGTCTCGAACTCCTAACCTCTGGTGATCTGCCTGTCTCGGCCTCCCAAAGTGCCGGGATTACAGGTGTGAGCCACCACATCTGGCCTATTCTACTATTTTCTATATTATTCATTTAGTATACATCGGGTGCTTACCATGTATCGCACAAGTGCTATCAACACAAAAACAAAAATAATATATGGTACGAGCCCTGGAGGAACTCACAACCTGCCCAGGGTGACAGATGAATATAGAGACAACAGCAAAACCATGTGTTAACCTAGGAGAGACACATGGAAATGCTATGGGAGCAGAAGAGTGGCTAATGTACACTGGGAAGGAAAACTGATAAAGTACCTTCACAGACACTGTGTAATTTCATCCAAATTAAAATTCTTTTAAGACAGTAGGTTAGGAAGACTGTATTTCATAGATAATTGAAACCCAGATAAGGTTAAATATTTTCTCCAGTTTCGTAAGAGTAGGCAAGCCAGTATTTGAACCCAGGCCTTACAACCAATCTATGCTGTTTCCACATTAAAAGCTAAAAGGCCACCACCCAGATTATCTCATACATGAAGAGAAAACCAAAAAAGCTAGGCAACTAGTCACACACATGGCTAGTAACAAGGCCTGAAGTAGAATCTTGTCTCCTGATCCCCAAGGCAGGGATTCGCCATGTTGGCCAGGCAGGTCTTGAACTCCTGGCCTTGTATACCATTCTGTATCTAGAGCAGGGTTTCTTGACCTAGAGTCCATGTATCCCCTGAAATATATGCAACATGAGTGTATTCTTCTGTGGAAGGAGTCTAAAGCTTTTATCAGATGCTCAAAGGACTGAGACCTCCTAAAAAGGACAGCTGGTCTATAACACTTTCACTTTCATCCCCATCTGAGTACCAATGATCATGTATTTCCAGCTCTTGGTTTACTCTCTGGAGGGACAGTGTCATTCAAAAGGAGGGTCCTCAAGACCTCATAGTCCTAAAGCCAGGAAGGAGCTCTCAAGTCATACAAGACGGAATTCCGACTAGAAATAAAAACTTTATACGTAGTCATTACTGTGGTAAAATAATAATTTTTTTAAAATAAAAACTTTAGAAATCCTTTCAGATGGACTCTTAAGTCACTAGCCCTTTCATATGAGTTCGGGTGTCAGAGGCTATGGTACTGTGTAATGTAGAGGTTCAATTTAGAGTCAGAAGATTTTACCACTAAGCACTGTAAGATAGAAAGGTACTTTACTCTCAGGGCTATAGTTTTGTTGATCCAAATAAAAGCACTTATTATGGTTAATGGTATTCAGTAGATGTCCAGTAAATATCACTTGAAGGTATGAACCCCAATCTTTATATTAAATTAAAACGTGAATGCTTGTAATTAGATGTTTTCCTCTATACTTTTACATCTTCAATTGAAAGAGCTGTAGTTGAAAATATCATTTTTTTCTGTTACTTTTATACTCTTTTACTTAGTTTATTCAGAAATTCTGGGGTTATTTAAAGAGACAGTGATGATTGTTGAGAAAATTATAGAGCTGCTGCATACAAAAAACACAGTGTAACAAGCTAGCTTTACAAATAACAGGTATGCAATAAATGTTAGTTCTTTCCCTTCTCAACCAGTTTCCTCAAAGCATTCATTACTACTTCAATGAATGCTTTGAGGAAACTCAAATCCTCTTCTTGGCTCTCATTGAGCTGGATCATTAGGGTCTCAGTAGGTTTTCTCCCCCCTTCAAAAAGATCTCATCTCTCTGATCTCAATCTGCTAGTCTCAAGGCTCTTGGTAAGGGTTGTCGCACTGCACACAGCACAGGGTGGCCTCATCGTCAGCTATAATTCTGAAATTACAGATTATGCTATCATTTTCTTTAAATGACTCAGTAAGACTCACACTCTGATTTGACGAATAGGTCCATATTTCCCAAATATATCATACATTTCTTCAGCTGTGATTTTGTATGGCAAATTTCTTATATACAATATCCGATTTACTTCAGGTGGAAGTCGAATCTAAAATGAGAAATACGTATTGTTATTATAATTAGGGGCATTCTAAAAAATTATAATTTAAATGCCCCTATAATTAGGGGCATTTTAAAAAATTCTTAATGATACGTAATAATAAAAAGCCAAGAATAAGAGGTATAATTTGATGTTTCTGAAAATGGGCAGATCTTTGAAAAAGCAACAGAGGCTGGGTGCAGTGGCTGGTCCCTATAATCCCAGCACTTTGGGAGGCAAAGTGGGAGGATCACTTGAGCCCAGGAGTTTGAGACCAGCCTGGACAACATAGTGAGACCCCCATCTCTACAAAAATTTTAAAAAATTAGCCAGGCATGGTGGTGGGTGTAGGCCTTTGCAAACCTTACCACCATCACTCCTGCTAACACCTGAGTTGGGCTGTACCCTCTTCCCTGCCCATCCCAGGAGATGACCCTGATTCTTGTTTCTTGGAGAAAATAGACATGACCAATTGAAATACTTTTCATCTATATCCAACTACTTTCCCTCTATTACTACGCCAACCTTCATCTACTCAAAACCTTCACTTCTAAACTCAACCTATCTTTCTTCCATATCATGTTTCGCACACTCTGCTGGATTGCTCCCATTGGCATAAAGATACACCTATATCACACATCTTTTAAAAAGTCAACTATCTGGCCGGGTGCGGTGGCTCATGCCTGTAATCCCAGCGTTTTGGGAGGCCAAGGCAGGTGGATCACTTGAGGTCAGGAGTTTGAGACCAGCCTGGCCAACACGGAGAAACCCTGTCTCTACTAAAAATACAAAAATTAGCCGGGCATGGTGGTGGGCACCTGTAATCCCAGCTACTCAAGAGGCTGAGGCAGGAGAATTGCTTGAACTCAGGAGACAGAGGTTGCAGTGAGCCAAGACTGTGCCACTGCACTCCAGCCTGGGTGACAGAGTGAGAGTCCATCTCAAAAAAAAAAGTCAACTATCATCCAATTTCCCTACTTCCTATTTAAATGAGAACTCATGGACAGAGTGTCTTTGCTGTTTCCATTTTCTCAACTTCCACCATCTTTTCACCCCACTGCAATCAAGTTTTCATCCACTGAAATGATTCCTATCATCAAGGTCACCAAAAGTCTCCATTTACATATACAATGGTCAATTGCTTGTCTTTTCTTTCTTTCTTTCTTTCTTTCTGTTTTTTTTTTTTTTTTTGAGTCAGGGTCTTGCTCTGTCTCCTGGGCTGAAGTGCTGCGCAGTGGCACAATCATGGCTCAAGGCAGCCTTGAATTCCTGGGCTCAAGCAATCCTCCCACCTCAGCCTCCAAAAGTGCGGGGATTACAGGCATGAGCCACCTCACTCGGCCTAACTTCATCTTACACCTCTAAGCGTTTTACTGTTGACTAATCTCTTTTTTGAGTTTTTTTTTTTTAAAAGTTTCCGTAACACTGTACTCTCAAACACTAGAATGTAAGCAGAAGGACTTGTTTTATTCACTGCTGTATTCCCAATACGTAAGACTAGTGTCTGGCACATAGTAGCTATTCAATAAATATAATTGATGAATTATGTCCCACATGGCAAGCAGAATACATAGTAGGTGCTCAAAAAATATTGTTTTAATTAATGTGTTAATGAAGGATCCGAAAAGCACCATGATCTGAGGGGAATCCCAGGTCCTAGTTGTTGGTGAACCATTAAGTTAGTTGAGGACTCTTCTGAGATATCGACTTTAAGTCAAGGAGATAATCCTAACGCCAGGTCCTTAGGTGCGGGTCAAGCAAAGAGGCTATAGGGGTAACACTATCACTGACACTAGGGTAGAGACTGAGGAACTCTCAAAAGGGGTGGGGACAGAAATGTGGCTCAAGGAGCATATCTCTGAGGATGGGGCCGGATAGTGTCTTCGCTGACAGGATAGGAATTCTGGAGTTCTCCGCTCTGGGGACGGAGGAGGAGCAAGAATGCTCCGATCCACGCCGCTAAGAAAGTCAAACCCGAAGTTCTCCCACCCTCCGCAGAACACCCGATACTCACGTTCGCCCTCTTGGCCGCTTGCATCGCCATCTTGGCGGGCTGATGAAGTTACCGTAGCAGATACTGAAATTCCTCCGGAGCTCGCTCGGCTTCGGGGGTTACACCGCGTTAGATGCAGGACATCAACATCCAGGACCCGCCGGAAGCTGTTACAGCGGAATAGCGCCGTCTTACGCTGAGACGCGCTGACGTAGCAGCCCCCTTCGAATAGACTCCGGGGTAAAACCGAGCCTGAGCGAGACTCGAGGCCGGAAGATGGAAAGGCGAGAGTCCAAGACACTTCCGGGCTCTGTACCGTAAAGGGCGGGGCGTAGCCTCCAAAAGGCGAGATGTTCCGGTCGGGGAGGCCCTGAGCAGAGGAACCCGGGTGGAGAGGGCGGGGCCTGAGGAGGGCGGAGAGCTGGGGCGGGTCTCAGGTGAGTAACTGGGGAGCGGAGGAGGCGGGGCTTGAGCAGGGTTATGACAGGTAGGGCGGGACCCAGGTGAGTAGCGGGAGGGGGCGGGGCCTGAGGAGGGTGCGGAGAGCTGGGGTGGGGCCCAAGTGAGTATCCGGGAGGGAGCCGGGCCTGAGCAAGGCGGTGAGCTGGGGCGGGACCCAAGTGAGTAATGGAAGGGGCGGGGCCTGAGGAGGGTGGTGGCGGTGGGGCGGGGCCCAGATGTGTAGCGGGAGGTGGTGGGGCCTGAGGAGGGTGGCGAGAGGTGGGGTGGGGCCCAGGTGAGTAGCGGGCGAAGGCGGGGCCTGAGGAGGACTGAGCTGGGGCGGGACCCAGGTGAGTAGCGGAAGGGATCGGGGCCTGAGGAGGGTGGTGGAGGTGCGGCGGGGCCCAGAAGTGTAGCAGGAGGTGGTTGGGGCTGAGGAAAGTGGTGGAGGTGGGGCGGGGCTCAGATGTGTAGCGGGAGGTGGTGGGGCCTGAGGAGGGCGGCGAGAGGTGGGGTGGGGCCCAGGTGAGTAGCGGGCAGGGCTGGGGCCTGCTGTGGTGCCCACTGGTTGCGGGGCGCGCGGGCAGGTGCCGGAGGTGGTGGGCCTGGGCCTCTAGCTGTGCGCAAGGCGGAATATGTGGGGTTCTGGCGGCTTGTGTCACGGCTGACGCTGTAACTATACCCAGAATCTCCGTCCCTGGAGGGGCCCTCAGGTTGAGCGTCAGCTGATCGGGCCTCAGTAATCCCCGCTGCGACGCCCGTCCGGACTCCCACCTCAACCCCGCCGCGGCGGCCCCAGTCCGCGTGCCACCCTTCCAGTTCACTCTTTATTTCCTCATATCAGCTTTAAACGGCTCTGGAGGAAGCACCGGGTTTCTTGGCCTGTCTATTGTGAATCTTCTCCAGGTTTGCTCTGGAAAGGCCTGGGGTGGCCGCGTCCTGTCCTGCCCCATCCTCCTTCACTGGGGCAGTTCCAGGACGATCTTGCCTATGTTCTTGTTGGCCTCCATGTACTTATGGGCCTCCTGGATTTCGGTCACTGGGTAGATTCTGTCCAGAACCGGCAGCAGACGTTGGGGGCCCTCCGTGGAGAAGTGAGGCAGAATTTGCTCCGTGAAAGCATTCACCAGCATTTGCTTGTACTAAGACAAGGGAAAGGAGATCATCAGCCTGGGGAGAGAGCCTCACCCTGCCCTCCTCATCCTCCTCAGCCTTCTTGCTCTCTCTGAAGCCACGTATCTGAAAAAGCACACAGGGACACTTAACCCCTCACTTCCTAGCATGTGTGTGAAATACCCTTGAAGGAGTCATGTGCCATCTCAGAATATGTCCGATAGGTATATTGTTAATTTTGAGGTGAAAGCATTGGAGAAATTGTAGTTTCAGAAAAGGCTAGCTGACCTGTCTCTTCTTGCATGTAGCAAGTCATAAAGATTCCTCTGAGAGGGGTACCCTCCCCATACTAGGGCAAAAAGCCCTTATCACCAGAGACTGGAAACGGGGCTGCAATGGAACTGAATAAATACACTTAAGGAAGTAACCCTTATCTTCCACTAGTTTTACACCCCCCACCCCCATATATCTCCTAGTGACTTCCCTAGAAATTTACTATCCCTAGCCAGATTTTGTCTTATTTCTTCTCAAATTTATTGTTCTTTGTCTAAAAATTACAAAAGCATCTTACTTTGGCCGAATCACTTGAGCCTGGGAGTTTGAGATCAGCCTGGGCAACATGGTGAAAACCTGTCTCTATAAAAAATACAAGCCAGGCATGGTGGTATGCCTTCAGTCTTAGCTACCCAGGAGGCTGATTGTGCCATTGCACTCCAGCCTGGGTGACAGAGTAAGACCCTGTCTCCATAAAAAAAAAAAAAAAAAAAAAAAGTACATGCTTTTCTCCTGTCAATCTGCTGGTATCAATTTGGTTTCTAGAGCCAGCTGAAGAGACCACATAGGAGCTAAAGGGGGGTTACAGGTGATCTCTGGCTCCCTTGTACCTCCAAATGTGTAACTTCTGTTCTGTACCAGATAAAGACTGAAGCCTGGAGTAAAATGTTAGTGTCACTGACAGCCTAAGAATTGTTTTTAAATAAAGTGTCTTTACCCAGGAGGCAGCCACAGATAGGACTCATATAGGCTTAGTGAAAAAAGGATGCTTAAGCTCTCCTGTCCCTCAGCTGGTGCAAAACCCTATGGTGGAAACATTCCCAAAGGTGGTACCTGCTAGACTGCCAGATGGAATATTTCAGGAGCATATAATCTTTTTTTTTTTGAGATGAGGTTTTGCTATGTTGCTCAGGCTGGGGTACAGTGGCTATGCACAGGTGCAATCATAGCTCACTGCAGCCTTGAAACTCCTGGACTCAAGCAATCCTCTGCCTCAGCCTTCCAAGTAGCTGGGACTACAAGCAAGTGCCACTGTGCCCGGCATGGAACCTATAATCTGTTGAAGGCCAAGGCTTACTTATTTTTTTACTCACCTAAGAGACTTTCTAGCACACTGAGATGAATTCTGCCTTTGAAAACAAAGTCTTGGAACTACTCGAAATACTTCCTAATATAGTCAGTGCTTTCTTCATTCTGTTAGAATGTTCAGATAACCTGTGAAGTATCAGCTACACTTCTTTTCATGATACTGAAGCTTCTATCAACCAATCTGAATCAGTTCTCTGAAATCGGGTTCCCTCTTTATCTTCAGAGGGGGAGGTTTCTTCATAGAAACTAACCTCCGTAATCTAAGGTAGAGCTTCCTTTCTCGGGGTAATGTAAATGAACCACACTTTTCTGGGTTAAATCACATGTTTTCTTTTCATTCATCACTCACCTTATTGTCCCTAGACCTCAGCAAACTGGTGATCAGACTTCCTCGCTTAAAAAGTAGCTTTGAAAACAGGGGCCCATTGATGTCACCTCCTCCCATCAGACCATAGAGAACCCATCGACCATCAAGAGCCAGGCAGTTGACGTTCTTCTCCCAGTAGGATCCGCCTATGCAGTCTAGAATAAGATTAACTCCAGCACCTTCCATAGGAAACAGATTTGTGATGCTAGTCAGCTTGGTGCTAAATAAGATACCATGGTATATTTGGGGATTATGGATATAAATACAGATGCAAGTGGTAAATCTATAGGTTGGAATTAGAAACACTGCTTGAAGAACTGTTGTAAATGGAGTTTAGATAGCAGAACTCTATGATAGCATGTATGAAGTTCACCATTTATGAGGCCTAGCTACAGCAAGAGGGAAATGGGGCACCATGACCTAGCGTCTCCTGTCATGCCAAAATAAGTACAGTCCCACTGACACCCAGGCACGATTGAGAACAGAATACAGGAGGCCCAACCTAGGCTAGTTGTTCACATAGAAGTTAGGAAGTGTCCGCACTAGGTTATTGGAATCATAGGCTTTCTAGCTTTGGTTTCATCTCTCCTTTTCTACTCACATAAAAAATGGAGGCCAGGCATGGTGGCTCATGCCTGTAATCCCAGTACTTTGGGAGGCTGAGGCAGGTGGATCACCTGAGGTCAGGAGTTCGAGACCAGCCTGGCCAACATAGTGAAAGCCCGTCTCTACTAAAAATACAAAAATTAGCTGGGCGTGGTGGTGCGCCTGTGATCTCAGCTACTCAGGAGGCTAAGGCTGGAGAATCACTTGAACCTGGGAGGCGGAGGTTGCAGCGAGCCGAGATCAAGCCACTGCACGCCATCCTCAGTGACAGAGTGAGACTCCATCTCAAAAAAAAAAAAGAAAGAGAAACGGAAAGGGATGAGCCAAAAATAGACACGTCTGGCTTTGGAATACAGAGGTGTGCACATCTACTTACTCATTTAGGGTGCTACCACCCAACCCTACCATGGCTGGCTCCAAACTGGTCTCTGCCTCCAAGCCTCCTGTTAACTAAGTGTGGAATGGCTGGTTGGGAAGAAAAGGTGCTGGATAATTCCAGACCAAGTCTGCATGGTCTAAAGTGTGGATGAATCTTATCTCTTGCAAGAATGCACATGGAAACCATCTTAGATTTAAATATGACTGCCTGTCTCCAGTGGTCAAATACCATAGTACTAGAATTTGGCCAGGGCAGCTGTTGTGCACTTAGCAGAGGTAAGACTGATACACAGCACTGGCAACTTTGAGACTGGTGGGGCTTTTATTTAATCATCTCTTAAATTCCTGCTGAACTGTAGAAGCAGTTGTTTACCTTTGGTGAATTTCAGCGTTGCTTCAGAGAAATCCTCTTTTTTGTAATTGAATCCAGCAGCTGCTCCAAGCTTTTCTGCCATTTGAAGCTTCTTCTGGGAGCCAGCTGTGACCAGAGGAATAGCTCCAGCCATCCGGGTGAGTTGGATAGCAGCTGTGCCCACACCACTCAGTCCTGCATGGATTAGCACATAGTCTCCAGCCTGAACATTTCCTGTGACAGAAAGTACAGGGTTCTCTTTACTTTGCAACTGCTACACATTCCCCACACAGGCATATTCTATCAAGATCACCTGGCCGTTGCACCAAATGCCAAATCAATCTTTTGCTTTTCCTTTTTTATTTGGTGGGGTGGGGGTGGGCTGGTGGGGGTGGGACGCTGTGACTCAAATACAAACCATCTTGTTCTTTGGAGAAAGAAAAAGAGCATATTGACGACCTTTTCTGTCTTATTGCCTCTGGCTAAAGTGGAAAACAGCCTTTTGAAACAGGGCTATAAGCAGCCACATCCATAATCTCTATTTTACCTATAACACCAAAATGCACATCTCTGACCTACACCTGAATAAGTAAGAACAACTACCATTCCCATGGTCACCACCGAAAGCCAGTCCTTCTAGAGTCTGAAACTGGCCTCCAGCTGGTCTTCCTGATCCAGGCAACACACAGCCACCAGGCTCCTCTTCCTAAGATGGCACTTGCATTATGTTACTTCCTCCTCAAAATGTAAAGTGCTTCTCCATTGGCTTTTGCATTGAGTCCAGACAGCTTGATATTCAAGGACACCATGATCTGGCTCCAGCCTCATTTTTCACAAATCACAATAGTCATCCTTCACTACTGAGTGCAGTGGCTGGTCTCACCTTGATACTGTTTTTTTTTTTTTTTTGAGACGGAGTCTCACTCTGTCACCCAGGCTGGAGTGCAGTGGCGCAATCTTGGCTCACTGCAAGCTCTGCCCCACCCCCCCTGCGTTCATGCCATTCTCTTGCCTCAGCTTCCTGAGTAGCTGGGACTACAGGTGCCCACCACCACGCCCAGCTAATTTTTTGTATTTTTAGTAGAGATGAAGTTTCACCGTGTTAGCCAGGATGGTCTCGATCTCCTGACCTCATGATCCACCCACCTCAGCCGCCCAAAGTGCTGGGATTACAGGCGTGAGCCACCACGCCCAGCCTACTCTTTCTTTTTCTTTGAGACAGAGTCTCACTCTACTGCCCAGGCTGGAGTGCAGTGGCATGATCATGGCTCACTGCAGCCTTGACCTTCCTGGGCTCAGGTGATCCTCCCAACTCAGCCTCCTGAGTAACTGAGACAACAGGCATGCACCATCATGCCTGGTTAATTTTTGTATTTTTTGTAGAAACAGGGTTTCGCCATGTTGCCCAGGCTGATCTTGAACTCCTGGGCTCGTGATCTGTCTTCCAAAGTGCTACGATTATAGGTGTGAGCCACCTTGCCTGGCTGATACTCTTTCTTAGGCCACCTTGGCATGCCTTATGTCCTTCACAAGTCTACCCACCCTTCAAAGCCTTCCAAAAAGCCTTCTGACTACCCTTGTCCACACCATCTTTACTCATCTCCAGCTTCTATCATAGACAGGGCTATCCTTCTAAACTCTATGGTCATCTGATCTTATGCATATGTTGCCTTCTCAGTTACACTGCACTGTCTAAAGGCAAGGACCAAGTCTTCTTAGATTCCCTTATGTGAGTTCTTGACTGGCCTCTGTGGGATTGAGGAGGAATAAATGAGTCAATTGGTCCCTTCTGTTGCACTGGGACCCCAGAGAGAAGCTCAGTATGATTCTAAGAAGCTGGGACTTCTGCTGGGCGTCCGGTGTTAACATGTACATAGGCCTCCTATCTAGTGTTATCCAGACCCTCTATCTGCTAACCATGATTCTCAGCCTCAACATTAAACCCTTCTAACATGGTTTGAGGACCTGACAATACAGGTGATACAGGAAGGCCTGGGAGTGCCCTGGGGGATTGCTGGGATTCAAGTTGGCTGATTTATGAAGGTGTTGAGCCACATTGTGTGGAGTGAGCATGGAGGCCTCCTCACCCACAAGATGTAACAGCTGGAAGGCGGTGAGCCAGGCCTCTGGGATGGCTGCAGCCTGGGTCAGGGTCAATCCCTCTGGGATAGGCATGAGGAGCCCTTCGGGGACAGTGACGTACTGAGCCTGGCCCCCACCGGGGAGCAGAGCCATGGCTGTGTCCCCGATCTTCCAGTGTCCCTGGCAGCCAGGCCCCAGCTCTGCCACATGTCCAGATGCCTCAAGTCCCAAAATGTTGCTGGCTCCTGGAGGTGGGTCATACTGGCCTTGTCTCTGCAGAGAAAGAAGTGCACTAAGTGGTGAGCATGATCAGAAATCTGTATGTCACTACCCCTGGCCCCCCTTCCAAGATCCCCTCTTTTTTTTTTCAAAAATAAATTTCAGAATGAAGTCAGGTTTTTGTAAGTAAGGAGAAGAAAAAGGAGAGGCCATTAGTTTTATGCAAATAAACTGGAGGTCACATGATCAGTGGATGTTATAACTGGTAGAGTCCTTAGCTATTTACCTCATCTGAACCCCTTGCTTTACAGATGGAGAAACTGAGTCCCAGACGGGAAATAATAGTAGTGGGATTAGGAACCTTGACGATGGTTCCCATGCATCAAGCGCTAGGCTCTGTGCTCACTCACCCCAGTCCTCAGAAGCTGTAGAGCAGAGGGACTTAACCAGGAGTGTGTGGCAGAACCACCTGAGGAGTATTTCAAAGTACACGTGCCTGGGCCCCCATCACGTTTCTTTTGTGCCCCGGGGGATTCTGATGCACATTTCTGAATGACCCCAACCAATGCAGCTGGCCCAGGTCAGTAAATCAGCATCAGACAGAAGAAAATTCTTAAGAGTACTGCCCGCTGTCAGCTCCGGGACTCTCAGAGTGGAAAGAGTTAAGAGGTCTTTGGAGCCACAAAGACCTCAGCTTGAATCCCAGCTCTTCTGATTGCTAGTGTCACGGCCTTGGGCGTACTGCTTAACCTCACTGAACTTCAGTTTCCTTATCTGTAGAATTAAGATGGCGAACAGGGTAGCCTGGGGAGTAAGTGTGCCCACACCCCACAACAATGTTAGTTCCGCCCTCATCTGGAGGCCTGAGTGGCTATGGATTAGCTCGGGGTGGATTCTGCTTTACAAGTACTCCCCCTTGTTTTGCATGAACAAAGAGGGCGCCCTGGGTTTAGGTCTGGGAAGCCCCAGCGCAGCTGCCTGCTGGGTGTGGAGCGGTGCACGCCTTCACGTCTGGTCAATGTCCACTGAGTGCTGTTGAGAGGGAGGCTCTGGAGTCCCGCCCGCCCCGGCGCGGCTGAGCCCTGGGTACCTGCATTAAGTCCGCCCGGTTCAGGGCGCTGGCCGCCACCTTCAGGAGGACTTCACCCTCCCCCGGGCTCGGCTTGGCCACCTCCTTCACGTAGAGGTTTTCCGGTCCTCCCGGCTTGTCAAAGTGCACGGCTAACATATTGTCTGAGGACACAGGGCAGGGCAGGGCAGGACAGGACAGGGCAGGGCAGGGCAGGACAGGACAGGGCAGGGCAGGACAGGACAGGGCAGGGGCCGCTGTATCCTCGCGGAGCAGCCCAGCCTCAGGCTGGCACCGCAGCGCCCCCTGCCGGCCAGCGCCTCGCTGCCCTGGTCTGCCGCGGACCCGGCCTCCGCCCCGAGCTCCTGCCTGGGAAGTCCTCGGCCGCCTCCAGACCGATCCCACCCGGAACACAGATGGGAACGGCGGGAAGTGGGATGGCGGTACAGGGCTGGATGCGGCAGAGCAGGACAACGCCGAAGAGGATCAGGCAAATCACACTCCCTCTGAGTTGGAAGCCCCCAGCCCGACCCGGGTCCCCGGCGCCCGTATGAGTTACTTACTCCTGGCCCGGCTCCCCTCCCATGCACCAGGCGGCGCCGAGTGGTTCTGGCTCCTGCGGGTCCCGGTGACAAAGCCCGAGCCCCAGAGCCCCAGGACTGCCTCTGCCTCCACCGGAATGGACGGCTGGACCTGGGGTAGCCGGAGGGGTGGGGCTAAGCAGAACCACCCTCCCCCTCTTTCCTTTCCTCCTTCCCCCTTTAAAACGCAAAGTTAGAAGCAAGCAAATCAGATTTTCTTGTCCTTTTAGCCTCTGGAAAAGAGTCTTTCTCTCAGCTTGACAGAAAGTGCGATTCTAGCTCTCACTTCAAGGAGAGGAAACTTCCTTCTCTCTAGGGAACGAGACCCAACCTCTTGGCGGGCGGATTGGTCCATTTTCCAGGCATGGCCAGGCTTTTGGCACATTTATGTAACAGGCTGGCATCCCGCCCATCTTGAGCATGGGTGGGCAAGCTGGGTGCTGCTAAGAGAAGAGAAAGGAGCCGTTGGGAGTGGGGGTGGGGAAGGAAGGCAAAACGCAGTCCTGGGATCCTTATCACTCGCCTCCTCCTGACAGTCCTGGGGGAGAGGTTCAGCCCCAGGAGAAGGATGCTGGCGATTGGGTAAAAGCTGTATCCGTAAGCTACATGAAGGTTTCTCAATCTCGGCGCTATTGACATTTTGGACTAGCTAGTTCGTTATTGTAGGAGATCGTCCTGTGCATCGTAGGATGTTTAGCAGCATCCCTGGCCTCCCCCCACTACATATCCGTAGCACTCCTTGTAAATTCCTGTTTTAGTAAGAACCTCCCATCCTTGACATCTGATCACCCTCAATATCTCATCCTCCACCATCCCCCAAGTGATATCCGACCACCCTGGCCTGTCTTCAGTGAGAATCCTGTTAGGTCAGTTTAGATAGAATCCCCCTTACCCCTGATGCCTCTTACCAATTTTCCATCCACTGACCCCCTACACTGCTCCTTGGCTATACATTCCCACTTGTCCGTGATGCATTCAGAGTTGATCCCAACCTGTCTCCTCCACTGCAAGAACTCATTGCAGTGGTCCCTAAACCTGTAGCGATGGTGCTAAATAAAGTCTTCCTTAATGTGCTTTAACAAGTATCATTGAATAATTATTTCTTTAACACAACAGAGCAAAAGCCTATAGAGATGGAAATAATAAAATGATGGGACTTAAGGAAAAATTCAGGAGACCCTGCTATGAGAATAACAGGAATTTTAGGCCGGGCGCGGTGGCTCACGCCTGTAATCCCAGAACTTTGGGAGGCCAAGGCGGGCGGATCACGAGGTCAGGAGATCGAGACCATCCTGGCTAACACGGTGAAACCCCGTCTCTACTAAAAATACAAAAAATTAGCCGGGCGTGGTGGCGGGCGCCTGTAGTCCCAGCTATTCGGGAGGCTGAGGCAGGAGAATGGCGTGAACCCGGGAGGGGGAGCTTGCAGTGAGCCGAGATCGCACCACTGCACTCCAGCCTGGACGACAGAGTGAGACTCCGTCTCAAAAAAAAAAAAAAAAAAGGAATTTTAGAAGGAGGAAGAGGAATGGATGAAGAAGATTCAATAGTTAACCAAATAAAAGAATACAGTTTTCCTAAATTCTACCAGATTATACGGATTGAAAACATTCACTAAAGGATGGATTCATAAGAACAAAAATGCATGCCTATATTTTATAAAATTTCAGGTTCTAACAAGTGTGGAAAGAATAAGTTACTCACAATTGGTTAAAAAAAATGGCTTCCTTCTCTCCCTCCCTCCCTCCTTCCTTCCTTCCCTCCTTCCCCACCCCCTCTTTCTCTCTCTCTCTTTTTTGTAGTGTAGGGGTCTCATTATGTTGCCCAGGCTGGTCTCAAACTCCTGGACTCAAGCAATCCTCCTGCCTCAGCCTCCCAAAGTGCTAGGATTACAAGTATGAGCCACTGTGCCCAGCAAGTTTCTATCTGCAATCTGGAAGCTAGAAGAGAGTAGACTAGCGTCTATTGACTAGAAGAAAAGCACTGTAACTCAATATACCCCATTAAGATATAATTCACTTGTTAGGGCAAAAAACATGTCTGAGGATGTATAAGGATTCAGAGACACATCATCCGGATACACATCTGTCCAAAATCGAGGAAAGGTTTGAACCAAATAAATATCCTAGAACAGAGACAGATGGAAAGGAAATAGTTGTAAATAACAAACTTTGCAAAAATCGACACTAAAACTGATTGGATTAAGAAAATGGAATGGATTAAGATAGATGAGGAATGTGTAATGTAAGTGCTAAATAAGAACTTTTAAGATGCAAGGAGTAACTTTAAAAAAAATCTAATAATACCAACCACTAAGTATACTAAAGTATCCCAGTAAAACTAGTAGTTGAAAGTGCCTAAGATTTTATCTTAGTGAGCCCTTGGTCGATGTAATCTTGCAGTGTGTAATAAGAAATATATATTTTTGGTCTTTGTCCTGGGTTCCTACAATAGCACTCCTAAAACCTTTGTTATTTGCTGAATAAACATCTCTTTCTTTCTTTTGTTTTTAACTAGATATACGGTCTTGCTACGTTGCCCAGGCTGATCATGAACTCCTGGACTCAAGCAATTCTCCCACCTCAGCCTGTAAAGTACTGGAATTATAGGCATGAGCCACTCTGCCTGGCCAATAAGTATCTTTTATTATATTTTGTTCTCCTGCAGAGCTCCTAAAACCCTTGGAATTTCGTATGTGATAGAAGTGACTTTTTATATTAATAACAAACCCTTATAAGCACACTCGAGTTTATGCTAATATGACTTAGGGTGGGGGCCCTAGATAGCTTCAGGATGAGCTGGTCACCAGAAAGACCCTGGGAAGGGGAAGCAGGGACTGGAGATTACACGCTATAAGAATTCTTTTTTGTTGTTGTTGTTGAAACTGAGTCTCACTCTGTTGCCCAGGCTGGAGTGCAGTGGCCTGACCTCAGTTCACTGCAACCTCCACCTCCTAGGTTCAAGCGATTCTCCTGCCTCAGCCTCCCGAGTAGCTGGGACTACAGGTGTGAGCCACCACACCAGGGTAATTTTTTTTTTTTTTTTTTTTTTGAGACAGAGTCTCACTCTGTCACCCAGGCGATCTCGGCTCCCTGCAATCCTCTCAAGTAGCTGGGACTATAGATGCACGCTGCCACGCCCAGCTAATTTTTTGTATTTTAGTAGAGACAGGGTTTCACCAGCCCAGGGTTTTGCAACAGTCCAGGCTGGTCGCAAACTCCTGAGCTTAGGCAATCCACCTGCCTCGGCCTTCCAAAGTGCTGGGATTACAGGCGTGAGCCACTGGGTCCGGCCCATTTTTGTGGTTTTAGTAGAAATGGGATTTCTCCATGTTGGCCAGGCTGGTCTTGAACTCCTTACCTCAGGTTATCCATTTGCCTAGGCCTCCAAAAGTGCTGGGATTAGAGGTGTGAGCCACTGCGCCTGGCCCTAAAAACTCTTGAACAAAGAAATGTGGTGAGCTTCCCAGCTGGTGAACACATCCACCATGGGAAGATGGTGTGGTGTACCCCAACTCCATGGGGACAGAGACTCCTGCACTTGGGATCCTTCTGGACCTCATTCTACATACCTCTTCACCTGGCTGTTCATCCCTTTATTATATATATATATCTTTTTTTGAGGCAGAGTCTGGCTCTGTCGCCTAGGCTGGAATGCAGTGGGGTGATCTCGGCTCACTGCAATCTCTGTCTCCTGGGTTTACGTGATTCTCCTGCCTCAGCCTCCCAAGTAGCTGGGATTACAGGCATGCACCACCAAGCCCGGCTAATTTTTGCATATTTAGTAGAGACAGGGTTTCGCCATGTTGGCCAGGCTGGTCTTGAACTTTTGGGCTCAAGAGATCCACCTGCTTCGGCCTCCCAAAGTGTTGCGATTACAGGCGTGAGCCACCGCGCCCGGCCTATAATATTCTTTATCATAAACTAGTAAACGTAAGTGTTTCCCTGAGTTTTATGAAGGATTCTAGCAAATTATCAAATCCAAGGAGGGAGTCATGAGAATCCCTGATTTATACAGCCAGTTGGTCAGAAGTGTAGGAGGCTTGGATTTGCAGTTGGCATCTTTAATGGGGGCAACCTTGCGGGACTGAGCCCTTAATCTGTGGGATCTGACACTAACTCCAGGTAGAGAGTGTCAGAATTGAATTGTGGAACACCCAGCCTATGTCAGAGAATTGATTGATGTGGGAATAAAACCTGCATATCTAGTGTCAGAAACGAAGTGTTCTGTGTGAGTGTAGAAACAGTGTGGTTTCCCAGATATGGGGAAATAGATTATATTTAGTAGAAATGTATCCAATTATGAAAGTTGAGAAATGGGCTGGGTGCTGTGGCTCATACCTATAATCCCAGCACTTTGGGAGGCTGAGAGGGGTGGATCACTTGAGGTCAGGAGTTCAAGGCCAGCCTGGCCAGCATGATGAAACCCCATCTCTACTAAAAATGCAAAAATTAGCTGGGTGTGGTGGTGGTTGCCTGTAGTCCCAGCTTGTTCTTTATAAAAACCAGTAACATGAATGAAATGTATTGTGAGTTACAGCTGGGAAACAAGAAATAGCCAAGGTCTGAAAGACTGGGAATGAGAAAGGAGATACAACCACAGATATAGGAGTGATTAAAACAAAAATAAATTAAATTATGTGAAATTCTACAGCAACAAGTAGTAAAATCTAGAAAAAAAAAGGAAGATTTTTTTAGCAAAATTACTCCATTCTACCCAATGGGTAGAGTATTTTCGCCTCATTCTGTTGATGTTGGGTTTGGCCCTGTCTCTTACTTTGGTCAATGATGAGTGAGAAAGGCATGGTCAGTTTCCATCAGTCCCCTTACCTTCCTGCCACCCACAGATAGCCTCTATTTCAGCTTGTCCCTGAGTGAGAAATACTCAGGGTAGCCCTGAATCCAACCTATTGTCTTGGGACCAGCCTAGCAGAGTCACAACCGAGGAAGAAATAAACATTTGTTTTTGTAAGCTGTTGTTGTTGTAAGCTGTTAAGATTTGGGGATAGTTTATTTTTGCAGCAAAGGCTTGTTAATAAAGATAAACATTTCTTTAAAAAATTAGCAAGTATACAAAATTAGCCAGGTGTGGTGGCGCATCCCTGTAATCTCAGCTACTCGGGAGGCTGAGGCAGGAGAATCACTCGAGGCAGAGGTTGTGGTGAGCCGAGATTGTGCCATTGCACTCCAGCCTGGGGAACAAGAGCAAAACTCCGTCTAAAAAAAAAGAAAAAAAAAAAAAAACGCCGGGCGCAGTGACTCACGCCTGTAATCCCAGCACTTTGGGAGGCCAAGGCGGGCGGATCACGAGGTCAGGAGATGGAGACCATCCTGGCTAACATGGTGTATTTCTCTACTAAAAATACAAAAAATTAGCCGGGGTGGTGGCTGGCGCCTGTAGTCCCAGTTACTCGGGAGGTTGAAGCAGGAGAATGGCGTGAACCCGGGAGGCGGAGCTTGCAGTGAGCCGAGATTGCGCCACTGCACTCCAGCCTGGGCTACAGAGTGAGACTCCGTCTCAAAAACAAACAAACAAACAAAAAAATTAGCAAGGACTGGCACGGTGGCTCAACCCTGTAATCCCAGCACTTTGAGAGGCCAAGGGGGGAGCAGAACAGTTGAGGTCAGGAGTTCAAGACCAGCCTGGCCAACATGGTGAAACCCCAACTCTACTAAAAATACAAAAATTAGCTGGGCGTGGTGGTGCACGCCTGTAGTCCCAGGTACCTGCGAGGCTGAGGCAGGAGGAGGTTGCAGTGAGCTGTGATTGCACCACTGCACTCCAGCCTTGGTGACAGAGAGAGCCTCCCATCTCAAAAAAAAAAAAAAAAAAAAATAGGAAATGGAGTTCAGCAACTTATATTCCCTATGATTATACAAAATCAATATTGGGAAGTCTATCAATACAACCCCAAAACATCAACAAATTAAAGGAGAAAACACCATATGAGCCAATCAATAGAGGCCAAAAAGGCATTGATTAAACGTAGAAGCCATTCATTATAAAACCTCCAAGCAAAATAAGGATAAAAGGAAAGTATTTATAGTAGACTTTTTTTAAAAGACAAGGTCTCATTCTGTTGCCCATGCTGGAGTGCAGTGTTGTGATCACAGCTCACTGCAGCCTTGATATGGCTCAATTGAACCTCCCACCTCAGCCTCCTCAGTAGCTAGGACTACAGGCTTGAGCCACCACACCCAGATAGTTTTTGTTTGTTTGTTTATCGTTTGTTTTGTAGATACGAGGTTATGCCATGTTGCCCAAGCTGACATTATTATTTAACATTAATTCGGAAGTTTTAGTCAATACAATAAGATAAAAAACGAGGTAATTGATAATAAATACTGGAAAAGTGATAAAACAGCCTCCTTTTGTTGTTGATATGATTGTAGACTTAGAAAACGCAAGAGATGCGCTGGGTGCCATGGCTCACGCCTGTAATCCCAGCACTTTGGGAGGCGGATGACGAGGTCAGGAGATCGAGACCATCCTGGCTAACACGGTGAAACCCCGCCTCTACTAAAAATACAAAAAATTAGCCGGGCGTGGTGGCGGGCGCCAGTAGTCCCAGCTACTTGGGAGGCTGAGGCAGGAGAATGGCGTGAACCCGGGAGGCGGAGCTTGCAGTGAGCCGAGATCGCCACTGCACTCCAGCCTGGGCAACAGAGTGAGATTCCGTCTCAAAACAAAAACAAAAACAAAAAACAAACAAATACAAAAAACCACAAGAGATGCTAATTTTAAAAATGAAGCAAACATTTTTGTTTGAGATAATGAGATAATTTGTAAAAGCTGTCCAGATGAAAGCTACATACACCAGAATCAATAGCTTTATTCTACTTCAGTTAAGCAACTAGAAATATTAATAAAAATGGGGAAAATAACACTTTTACCATAGCAGTACAAGTTGTAAAAGCATAAGGAATGTATTTAACAAGGAAGATACAAAAATTATATAATGAAGACTGTAAAACTATATCAAAGAACAGAAACAAGATCTGAACAAATGAAACAGTACCATGTTTTTAGATGAGAATACAGTACCCAAAATGTCAGTTTTACCAAATTAGTATACAAATTCATTATAAATTTGGTTATAATGCCAACAGTATATTTTTTGATTGGATAAAGTGGTGTTAGAGTGTATGTGGAAGAACAAATCCCCCCAAATGACCAATAAATATATGAAAAAGAATAGTAGGGTTGGGAGTGTTGGCTCACATCTGTAATCCCAGCACTTTGGGAGGCCGAGGTGGGCAGATCACTTGAACTCAGGAGTTCAAGACCAGCCTGGGCAACATAGCAAAACCCCATCCCTACAAAAAATTAGCCAGGCATGGTGGCATGTGCCTGTAGTTCCAGCTACTTGGGAGGCTGGGAGATGGAAAGATCACATGGGCCTGGCAGGCAGAGGTTGCATTGATCATACCACTGCACTCCAGCCTGGGTGACAGAGTAAGACTCTGTCTCAAAAAAAAAAAAAAAAAAAAAAAAAGGAATAGTAGTAGGAAAGACTTATATTACCAGATGTCAGAAAATAAATCAGCCAAGCATAGTGGCTCAGGCCTGTAATCTCACCACTTTGGGAGGCCAAGGTGTGTGGATTATTTGAGGTCAGAAGTTCTAGACCAGCCTGGCCAACATGGTGAAACCCCATCTCTACTAAAAATACAAAAATTAGCTGGGTAGTGGTGGCATGTGCCTGTAATCCCAGCTATTCGGGAGGCGGGGCAGGAGACTCGCTTGAGCCTGGGAGGCAGAGGTTGCAGTGAGCCGAGATCGCGCCCTGCACTCCAGCCTGGGTGACAGAGTGAGACCCTGTCTCCATAAAAAAAAGAAAGAAAGAAAATAAATCATAGCGATAGTAACAATGACAGTATGAAACTTACTTCTAAGGAGTTTGTCCTGTAGAAATAAAACACACCAATTATACAGATGTATGTACAGAGATGTTTATTTCAGCCTTGATCATAGTAACAAAAATTTAGAAACAAAGTAGATCCCATCACTAAGGGAATGGCTGCATAAATTGTGAATTCTATGCATCCACTTGAAAAATGAACTAGAGCTATAGCAGTTGACATCAAGGGATTTCTGTGAAGCGTTTGTTTAATCAGAGTAAAATTATGGTAAAACAATGACAAAATACCCCCATACACATATACATGATTTTATGCACACACACACACACACACACACACACACACACACACACACACCATGTACAGAGGCTACCTGCCTCTGCCATCTTCCTGGCCACCCACCACCATGGCTCAGGGCTCAAGGCGTTTCTCCTTACTCCAGGTGGTAGTCTGCACACATTTTTATTCTGAAATAGGCAAAAAGCATGTCCCAAAACTATGTGTCCCCTCTCACTTTTTATTTTTATTTTTATTTTATTTTACTTTAAGTTCTGGGATACATGTGTTGAAGGTGCAGGTTTGTTACGTAGGCATACATGTGCCATGGTGGTTTACTACACCTATCAGCCTGTCATCTAGGCTTTAAGCCCCTCATGCATCAGGTGTTTGTCCTAATGCTCTCCCTCCCCTTGCCCCTAGCCCCCCAACAGGCCCCGGTGTGTGATGTCCCCCTCCGTGTGTCCACGTGTTCTCATTGTTCATCTCCCACTTATGAGTGAGAACATGCGCTATTTGGTTTTCTCTTCCTGTGTTAGTTTGCTGAGGATGATGGTTTCCAGCTTCATCCATGTCCCTGCAAAGGACATGAACTCACTCTTTTTTATGGCTGCATAGTATTCCATGGTGTATATGTATCATATTTTCTTTATCCACTCTATCATTGATGGGCATTTGGGTTGGTTCGGTGTCTTTGCTATTGTAAACAGTGCTGCAATAAACATATGTGTGCATTTTTTTTTTTTTGAGACAGAATCTTGCTGTGTCACCCAGGCTGAAGTGCAGTGGCACAATCTTGGCTCACTGCAACCTCCTCCTCCTGGGTTCAAGCGATTCTCCTGCCTTAGCCTCCCAAGTAGCTTGGGACTACAGGGGCCCACCACCTAGCCTGGCTAATTTTTTTTGTATTTTTAATAGAGACGGGTTTCACCATATTGGCCAGGCTGGTCTTGAACTCCTGACCTTGTGATCTGCCCACCTCAGACTCCCAAAGTGCTGGGATTACAGGTATGAGCCACCGCTCCTGGCTGCATGTGTCTTTGTAGTGGAATGATTTATAAACCTTTGGGTATATACCCAGTAATGGGATTGCTGGGTCAAATGGTATTTCTGGTTCTAGATCCCTGAGGAATCGCCACATACTTTTTTTTTTTTTTTTTTTTTTTTTTTTAAGACAGGGTCTTGCTGTGTCACCCAGGCTGGAGTGCAGTGGCACCATCATAGCTTACTGCAGTGTTGACCTCTTGGATTCAAGTGATCCTCCTGCCCCAGCCTCCTGAATAACTGGGCCTTGGCCTCCCGAGTAGTCTCATGTGCCTGGGACTGCAGGCACATGCCACCACACCTGGCTACTTTTTAAAGTTTTGGTAGAGACAAGATCTTTCATGTTGCTCAGGCTGGTCTTCAACTCCTGGGCTTAAGTGATCTTCCTGCCTCCATCTACCAAAGTACAGAGATTACAGGTGTGAGCCACTGTGCCTAGCCTCCTCTCACATTTTTAAGTTGATATCTAAAATTATTCACCTGAAATATAAATAGTTTAAAAGATAAGGATTTCTTATTTCTTTTAATACTGACATTTTAAACTCTTAAAACAGGCTTTTTCCCCCTCCCGAGAGACAGAGTCTTGTTCTGTTGCTGAGGCCGGAGTAAAATGTTGTGATCATAACTCACTGTAACCTCAAACTCCTGAACTCAAGGAATCCTACCACCTCAGTCTTCCTAGTAGCTGGGACTATAGGCACATGACACCATGCCTGGCTAATTTTTCTGTTTTTCGTAGAGACAGTCTCACTATGTTGCCTCAGCTGGTCTTGAACTCTTGGCCTCAAGGGATCCTCCTTCCTTGGCCTCTCTAAGTGCTGAGTTTACAGGCATGAGCCACTTTGCCCAGCCTACATCAGGCTTTTAAATATATCAATTGGGCCGGGTGCGGTGACTCACACCTGTAATCCTGGCATTTTAGGAGGCCGAGGTGCGCAGATCACTTGAGTTCAGGAGTTGGAGACCAGCCTGGCCAACATGGTGAAACCCCATCTCTACTAAAAATACCAAAAAAATTAGCCTGGCGTGGTGGCACACACTCATAGTCCTAGCTACTCCCAAGGGTGAGGCAGGAGAATCACTTGAACCTGGGATGCAGAGGTTGCAGTCAGCCAAGATTGCGCCACTGCACTCCAGCCTTATATTAGAGCAATTTGATATTTATTAATATAATCATCCACTAAGAAAGACCCAAACTCTTCTTTAACAGTTAAAAGTTTAACAACCGGAACAGCTCCAGTCTGCAGCTCCCAGCGTGATCGACGCAGAAGACAGGTGATTTCTGCATTTCCGACTGAGGTAACTGATTCATCTCACTGGGACTGGTTTGACAGTGGGTGCAGCCCACGGATGGGGAGCTGAAGCAGGGCAGGGCGTCACCTCACCCTGGAAGTGCAAGGGGTCAGGGGATTTCCCTTTCCTAGCCAAGGGAAGCCGTGACAGACTACCTGGAAAAATGGGACACTCCTGCCCAAATACTGCACTTTTCCCAAGATCTTAGCCACCGGCAGACAAGGAGATTCTCTCCCATGCCTGGCTCGGCGGGTTCCACACCCACGGAGCCTTGCTCACTGCTAGTGCAGCAGTCTGAGATCGAACTGTGAGGCGGCAGCCTGGCTGGGGGAGGGGCGTCCGCTGTTGCTGAGGCTTGAGTAGGTAAACAAAGCAGCCGGGAAGTTCGAACTGGGCAGAGCCCACTGCAGCTCAGTAAGGCCTACTGCCTCTAGACTCCATCTCTGTGGCCAGGGCATAGCTGAACAAAAGGCAGCAGACAACTTTTGCAGACTTAAAGGTCCCTGTCTGACAGCTCTGAAGAGAGCATTGGTTCTCTCAGCACGGTGTTTGAGCTCTGAGAACGGACAGACTGCCTCCTTAAGTGGGTCCCTCACCCCCATGTAGCCTAACTAGGAGATACCTCCCAGGAGGGGCCGACAGACACCTCATATAGGCACCTGCCTCTCTGGGACGAAGCTTCCAGAGGAAGGATCAGGAAGTAGTATTTGCTGTTCTGCAATATTTGCTGTTCTGCAGCCTCCGCTGGTGATACCCAGGAAAACAGGGTCTGGGGTGGACCTCCAGCAAACTCCAACCGACCTGCAGCTGAGGGACCTGACAGTTAGAAGGAAAACTGAAAAACAGAAAGGAATAGCATCAACATCACCAAAAAGGTCATCTACACCAAAACCCCATCTGTAGGTCACCAACATCAAAGACCAAAGGTAGATAAAACCACAAAGATGGGGAGAAACCAGAGCAGAAAAGCTGAAAATTCTAAAAATCAGAGTGCCTCTTCTCCTCCAAAGGATCGCAACTCCTCGCCAGCAAAGAGACAAAGCTGGATGGAGAATGACTTTGACAAGTCGACAGAAGTAGGCTTCAGAAGGTTGGTAAAAACAAACTTCTCCGAGCTAAAGGAGGACGTTTGAACCCATCGCAAGGAAGTAAAACCCTTGAAAAAAGATTAGACGAATGGCTAACTGGAATAAACAGTGTAGAGAATACCTTAAATGACCTGATGGAGCTGAAAACCACGGCACAAGAACTTCGTGACACATGCACAACCTTCAATAGCCGATTCGATCAAGTGGAAGAAAGGGTATCAGTGATTGAAGATCAAATTAATGAAATAAAGCAAATAAGACAAGGTTACAGGAAAAAGAGTAAAAAGACATGAACAAAGCCTCCAAGACAAATGGGACTATGTGAAAAGACCAAATCTATGTTTGATTGGTGTACCTGGAAGTGATGGGGAGAATGGAACCAACTTGGAAAACACTCTTCAGGATATTATCCAGGAGAACTTCCCCAACCTAGCAAGGCAGGCCAACATTCAAATTCAGAAAATACAGAGAACACCACAAAGATACTCCTTGAGAAGAGCAACCCCAAGACACATAATTGTCAGATTCACCAAGGTTGAAATGAAGGAAAAAGTGTTAAGGGCAGCCAAAGAGAAAGGTTGAGTTACCCACAAAGGGACGCCCATCAGACTAACAGTGGATCTCTCTGCAGAAACCCTACAAGAAGAGAGTGGGGGCCAATATTCAACATTCTTAAAGAATTTTCAACCCAGAATTTCATATCTAGCCAAACTAAGCTTCATAAGTAAAGGAAAAATAAAATCCTTTACAGACAAGCAAATGCTGAGAGATTTTGTCACCACCAGGCCTGCCTTACGAGAGCTCCTAAAGGAAGCACTAAACATGGAAAGGAACAACTGGTACCAGCCACTGCAAAAACATGCCAAATTGTAAAGACCATCGATGCTATGAAGAAACTGCATGAATTAACGGGCAAAATAACCAGCGAACATCATAATGACAGGATCAAATTCACACATAACGATATTAACCTTAAATGTAAATGGGCTAAATGCCCCAATTAAAAGACACAGACTGGCAAATTGGATAAAGAGTCAAGACCCATCAATGTGCTGTATTCAGGAGACCCAGCTCATGTGCAAAGACACACATAGACTAAAATAAAGGGATGGAGGAAGATATACCAAGCAAATGGAAAGCAAAAAAAAAAAAAAAAAAAAGCAGGGGTTGCAATCCTATTCTCTGATAAAACAGACTTTAAACCAACAAAGATCAAAAGAGACAAGGCCATTACATAATGGTAAAGGGATCAATTCGCCAAGAAGAGCTAACTATCCTAAATATATATGCACCCAATACAGGAGCACCCAGATTCATAAAGCAAGTCCTTTGAGACCTACAAAGAAACTTAGACTTGCACACAATAATAATGGGAGACTTTAACACCCCACTGTCAATATTAGACAGATCAACGAGACAGAAGGTTAACAAGGATATCCAGGACTTGAACTCAGCCCTGCAACAAGCAGACCTAATAGACATCTACATAACTCTCCACCCCAAATCAATAGAATATACATTCTTCTCAGCATCACATCACACTTATTCTAAAATTGACCACATAATTGGAAGTAAAGCACTCCTCAGCAAATGTAAAAGAACAGAAATCACAACAAACTGTCTCTCAGACCACAGTGCAATCAAATTAGAACTCAGGATTAAGAAACTCACTCAAATCCACACAACTACATGGAAACTGAACAACCTGCTCCTGAATGACTACTGGATACATAACGAAATGAAGGCAGAAATAAAGATGTTCTTTGAAACCAATGAGAACAAAGACACAACGTACCAGAATCTCTGGGACACGTTTAAAGCAGTGTGTAGAGGGAAATTTATAGCACTAAACACCCACAAGAGAAAGCAGGAAAGATCTAAAATTGACACCCTAAAATCACAATTAAAAGAACTAAAGAAGCAAGAGCAAACAAATTCAAAAGCTAGCAGAAGGCAAGAAATAACTGAGATCAGAGCAGAGATGAAAGAGATAGAGACACGAAAACCCTTCAAAAAAATCAAGGAGTCCAGGAGCTGGTTTTTTGAAAAGATCAACAAAATTGATAGACTGCTAGCAAGACTAATAAAGAAGAAGAGAGAAGAATCAAATAGATGCAATAAAAAATGATAAAGGGGATATCACCACCAATCCCACAGAAATACAAACTACCATCAGAGAATACTATAAACACTTCTTTGCAAATAAACTAGAAAATCTAGAAGAAATGGATAAATTCCTGGAAACATACACCCACCCAAGACTAAACCAGGAAGAAGTTGAACCTCTGAATAGACCAATAACAGGCTCTGAAATTGAGGCAATAATTAATAGCCTACCAACCAAAAAAAGTCCAGGACCAGATAGATTCACAGCCAAATTCTACCAGAGGTACAAAGAGGAGCTGGTACCATTCCTTCTGAAACTATTCCAATCAATAGAAAAAGAGGGAATCCTCCCTAACTCATTTCATGAGGCCAACATCATCCTTATGCCAAAGCCTGGCAGAGACACAACAAAAAAAGAGAATTTTAGACCAATATCCCTGATGAACATCAATGCGAAAATCCTCAATAAAATACTGGCAAACCAAATCCAGCAGCACATCAAAAAGCTTATCAACCATGATCAAGTTGGCTTCATCCCTGGGATGCAAGGCTGGTTCAACATACACAAATCAATAAATGTAATTCATCACATAAAGAGAACCAATGACAAAAACCACATGATTATCTCAATAGATGCAGGAAAGGCCTTCAACAAAATTCAACAGTGCTTCATGCTAAAAACTCTCAATAAACTAAATATTCATGGAGTGTATCTCAAAATAATAAGAGCTATTTATGACAACCCCCAGCCAATATCATACTGAATGGGGAAAAACTGGAAGCATTCCCTTTGAAAACTGGCATAAGACAAGGATTCCACTCCTACGCAACATAGTGTTGGAAGTTCTGGCCAGGGCAATCAGGCAAGAGAAGGAAATAAAGGGTATTCAATCAGGAAATGAGGAAGTCAAATTGTCCCTGTTTGCAGATGACATGATTGTATATTTAGAAAACCCCATCGTCTCAGCCCAAAATCTCCTTAAGCTGATAAGCAACTTCAGCAAAGTCTCAGGATACAAAATCAGTGTGCAAAAATCACAAGCATTCCTATACGCCATTAACAGACAGAGAGCCAAATTATGAGTGAACTCCCAGTCACAATTGCTACAAAGAGAATAAAATACCTAGGAATCCAACTTACAAGGGATGTGAAGGACCTCTTCAAGGAGAACTACAAACCACTGCTCAACGAAATAAAAGAGGACACAAACAAATGGAAGAATATTTCATTCTCATGGATAGGAAGAATCAATATCATGAAAATGGCCACACTGCCCAAAGTATTTATAGATTCAATGCCATCCCCATCAAGCTACCAATGACTTTCTTCACAGAATTGGAAAAAACTACTTTAAAGATCATATGGAACCAAAAAAGAACCCCCCATTACCAAGACAATCCTAAGCAAAAAGAACAAAGCTGGAGGCATCAAGCTACCTGACTTCAAACTATACTACAAGGCTACAGTAACCAAAACAGCACGGTACTGGTACCAAAACAGATACATAGACCAATGGAACAGAAAAGAGGCCTCAGAAATAACACCACACATCTACAACCATCTGATCTTTGACAAACCTGACAAATACAAGCAATGGGGAAAGGATTCCCTATTTAATAAATGGTGCTGGGAAAACTGGCTAGCCATATGTAGAAAGCTGAGACTGGATCCCTTCCTTACACCTTATAAAAAATTAATTCAAGATGGATTAAAGACTTAAATGTTAGACCTAAAACCATAAAAACCCTAGAAGAAAACCTAGGCAATACCATTCAGGACGTAGGCATGGGCAAGGACTTCATGACTAAAACACCAAAAGCAATGGCAACAAAAGCCAAAATTGACAAAAGGGATCTAATTAAACGAAAGAGCTTCTGCATGGCAAAAGAAACTACCATCAGAGTGAACAGGCAACCTACAGAATGGGAGAAAATTTTTGCAATCTGCCCATCTGACAAAGGGCTAATATCCAGAATCTACAAATAACTCAAACAAATTTACAAGAAAAAAAATCCCATCAAAAAGTGGGTGAAGGATATGAACAGACACTTCTCAAAAGAAGACATCCATGCAGCCAACAGACACATGAAAAAATGCTCATCATCACTGGTCATCAGAGAAATGCAAATCAAAACCACAATGAGATACCATCTTGTGCCAGTTAAAATGGCAATCATTAAAAAGTCAGGAAACAACAGATGCTGGAGAGGATGTGGAGAAATAGGAATGCTTTTACACTGTTGGTGGGAGTGTAAATTAGTTCAACCATTGTGGAAGGCAGTGTGGCAATTCCTCAAGGATCTAGAACTAGAATTATCATTTGACCCAGCAATCCCATTACTGGGTATATACCCAAAGGATCATAAATCATGCTACTATAAAGACATATGCACACGTATGTTTATTGTGGCACTATTCACAATAGCAAAGACTTGGAACCAACCCAAATGTCCATCAATGATAGACTGGAATAAGAAAATGTGGCACATATACACCATGGAATACTATGCAGCCATAAAAAAGGATGAGTTCATGTCCTTTGCAGGGACATGGACGAAGGTGGAAACCATCATTCTCAGTAAGTTATCACAAGGACAGAAAACCAAATAGTGCATGTTTTCACTCATAGGTGGGAATTGTACAATGAGATCACTTGGACACAGGGTGGGGAACATCACACACCAGGGCCTGTTGGGGGGTTGGGGGCTGGTGGAGGGATAGCATTACAAGAAATACCTAATGTAAATGATGAGTTGATGGGTGCAGCAAACCAACATGGCACATGTATACCTATGTATCAAACCTGCACATTGTGTACATGTACCCTAGAACTTAAAGTATAATAATAAAAAAAGTTTTACAACCTTATTTTTCTTCTACTACTCATATTTTCATTCCACTGTTTTCATTGAATCATATTCTGCTATATTTTATGCTTTACTGATCATTCTTATCTGCAGGAAAAATATGTATGTAAATTGACATTAATTTAAAAAATTATTTTCTGTGACCACAGGGCTACTATAAGTGTTAAATTTCTTTTGGATTTATTATTATGATATTATTAGTCCACAATTGATCAAAACAATATGTATTATTTTAAATAATAATTATTAAACATAAAACGTAATTGGAAATATATTCTTAATGATGGTAGGGCTGAATTTTTCCCAACATTTATATATGTGGATGAATATTACTTATTGCTAGAATTGGACTGAGTTCGAAATTAGTTCTCTTCCTAGTTTTTATTATTTTATTTTATTTTTTTATTATTTTTTAAAGACGGGGTCTCGCACTTTCGCCCACGATGGAGTGCACTGGCGCGATCTCAGCTCACTGCAAGCTCCGCCTCCCAGATTCACGCCATTCTTCCACCTCAGCCTCTTGAGTAGCTGGGACTACAAGCGCTCACCACCATGCCTGGCTAATTTTTTGTATTTTTAGTAGATACCGGGTTTCACCGTGTTAGCCAGGATGGTCTCTATTTCTTGACTTTGTGATCTGCCCGCCTTGGCTTCCCAAAGCGCTGGGATTACAGGCGTGAGCTACCGCGCCCGGTCCCTATTTTTTATTTTTATAGACAAGCTCTGAGAAATCTAGTTTGCATAAATTAGATGGGAAAAAAATTTCATCATAGGAATGCCAGCCGATTCTTTGAATACCTCTGAATTATATAATAAAAACCATATAATGATCTATCATCAAAAGTTGTTTTCAATGCTCTATTAGCTGACAACTTAATTAGATCTTGCTTCAGTTTTGTTGAAAGTAAAGACTTGGAAACCACCCAATCTGTTACTCAGTCACAAGTGTCACTCAAGTTCTCAGTTTCTGGAATTATACCAGCAAAGCTTTCTGAAGACTTATCAAATGCTTATTAATTATATCTGCTATTTTTTCACTTAGAGGCACCTTGTTTCAATTGATATGCTCAGGAAAGATTCGGGAAGTAAAAATGTTAATTTTAATACATTTTTGCTAAATTTTTTGGATCAAATCCTTTTACCCTATCTCATGTTTTAAATGTATTTTCAGGCTGGGAGTGGTGGCTCACGCCTGTAATTCCAGCACTTTGGAAGCCCAAGGCAGGCGGATCAGCTGAGGTCAGGAATTTAAGACCAGTCTGGCTAACATGGCAAAACCCTGTCTCTATTAGAAGTACAAAAATTAGCTGGGTATGGTGGCAGGTGCCTGTAGTCCCAGCTACTCAGGAGGCTGAGGCAGGAGAATCGCTTGAACCCTGGAGGTGGAGGTTGCAGTGAGCTGAGATCATGCCATTGCACTCCAGCCTGGGCAACAGAGTGAGACTCTGTCTCAAAAAAGAAACCAAAAAACAAAATAAATGTATTTTCATTAACATATCGGAGCTGCAGACTTAACTCATTTATGGAAAACATCTGTGACATTCTTATTGGCAAAAGCAGTCCTCACTGTTAAACTAATCAGCCAAATCAAATTACTTTGTATCAGAAAAAGTTTCTCATTTTTTAATTCAATAATCATGTTAATATGTGCCTTGTAACAATCATTTTGCTTCTGAACCTTAAGAAATATAGATGGACAAGGCATGCAGCCCTCCTTTCCTGGATGAATTATGATACAAAAGTGTTCACTGTTTCTCACTGATACTTTTTTTGCTTTACTCTCATGGGACTCTCCTTCACATATGATGCATTTTTGAACAATGGAGGATGAAAGAAATCATGCAATTTAAAATATTTAGAATTTTCTCTTCCTTTGGCACCTTACAGTTCTTTTGCTCCAAGCCAGGCTCAAAGGCTCAAAGGGCTGTGTGAGCGTGAGCCCTTTTGTATACTGGGTGAAGGGAGGCTGGGGAGGGAGGCCAGAAAGTAGCTTTGACATCAGTCCTCAACTACAGCAGATCTTTTTCAGGAAAGTACGTATGGAAGTTGAGAACCTGGGAAAAAGGAACCCCTTAAATCCATTCATGCCTGTGTGCCCCTTCTAATGGCTTTGTGAACCATCAGGACATAAAGTTCTCTCATTTGGAGACCTCTGTTACAAAAGATTGCCTGCTCCCTGGGCACCTCCACAGGTGCTGTATAGCTACCACCAAAGGGTCACTTGTGTGGGTCTCTCTGCGTAGCTGGACCCAGTTGGAAGTTTGTAATGAGAATTATAGGAGGCAACTGGAATGCTCTACAGAGGAGGCTCCAGACAGTTATTGCCTTGAGGAAGTTTATGAAAAAGGCTCCCACTAGGCACCCAGCAATGCAGCGGGTGTGTTTAGGAAAGGCTGGCCGGCCAGGAGGTGAGCTGCCAAGAGGCTTCACCAGGCCTGCAGAACTTCAGAGAATCGCTATAGTCCAGGTCAGACTCCCTGCCTGTCGGTATGTGGAGCGCGGGTCTACAGCTCACAGAACTGAGTTCTCAAATCCAGGTATCAGTGTGCTAATTTGTAAGAAGAAATTATTGGCATGGGGGCTGAACCCCAAAATCTACAGGCAAATCTATGTGGAATGTCAAATGGTAAGCCAGGACTCAGGACAAGATGGGACGATTGAGATGAATTGGGGGTGGGGCCGAGATAGTGGACTAGAGGCAGCTCATGTGTGCTGCTGTTTTGGAGAAGAAACAAAAGGACTAGCAAACACTGAGCTGCAGGCCGATCATCTGAAAAACCACGTTGGGACCCATCAGGGCAGTAGAGGAACACAGAGTGCAGAAAGGAGTGAAGCCAGGCACCAGCTGTTTGGGCTCAGCATGGAGCCAGGAGAACCTCTCCAGCACAGGACAGGGTGAGTGAGTGAGAGCCCCCAGGGTGATTCATGCTCTCCACAGGGACCTGTGCAAGACTGGGAATAGGAGAATCCCACTGGGCCCCACACCCACCCATCGTGTTTCTAGACTGAGGCAGAGAGCCACTCAGACGTATTATAGGGCCAACTCTCGAGTCCAAGGGGACCTCTATAAGCCTTGGGCCCTGGGGCAGACCAGCCAGCGCCGAAGCCCCAGCAAAGGCTGCAGTTGCCATGCATGGGAGCAGTAAGGTTGCTCCACCCACCCATGCTGGGTAGGACTCAACACCAGCCTCTAGCCCAGTAGTCTCACTTCAGCCTGAACTCGGCCAGCCACTCCACCCACCCCCACCACTGGTAGCCAGGCGGGCAACACCTGCTAGAGCTTCCAGCCTAATAGCCCTGCTTCTGTGTGAACTCAGCTAGAGGGTGCAGCTTTCTGTTGTCCTGGGAAACACCCGAACAGCAGAGTAAGTGACTCTACCTACCCTGCCACTGGTAGCCAGTTGGGTAACAACTGCTAGAGCTCCTGGCCCAGCAGCTCTGCTTCTGTGTGGATTCAACTGGTGGGTGCAGCCTCCTGTTGTCATAGGAAGCACCCAAATGGCAAGGCACATGACCATACCCACCCTTGCCACTGACAGCCAGGTGGATAACACCTGCTAGAGCTTCTGGCCCAGCAGTCCTGCTTCTGTGTGAACTCAGCCAACAAATGCAGCCTTCTGTTGTCCCAGGAAGCACAGACACCAGAGAAGGCATTCCCACCAACACCAGCCACTGGTAGCCAGGCAAGCCACACCTGCCAGAGCTGGCCCAGTGGCTCTACTTCTACCTGAATTTGTCAAGGGACGCAGCCTCCTGTTGCACTGGAAACACCCAGACAGCAGGGCAGCCAACTGCATCCACCCACCCCCGCGTCCTGTAGCCAGATGGGCCACACCCAGTAGTTTCCAATCCAGTGGTCCTGATTCTGCCTGAACTCTGCAGGCAGGGACAACCTCGTGTTTCCCCAGGAAGCACACAGACAGCAGATTGGAGCTGACCTGGCAAGGTTACAGCTTGTCTGCCACCTGTGGCCCTTGCCTAAGGGAGCTCCATGGACCAGAACACCCCAAAAAAGAAATGCAAATAGGGAGACAGTAATTGGAAGGGGCTCCTCCAAGACCTAGGAGTGGACTAGAATTGAAAGCAGTTAACCAAACCCACCTTGGTTTGGTTTGCCCTGTAGTCAAACCCCCAAGGGCATCAAAGAAGAAAAAAGCAAAAACAAAAAATTTCATCCAAAGGACAGCAACTTCAAAGATTGAAGGAACATCAGCCTACACAAATGAGACAGAACTAGCACAAAAACTCTGGCAAATCAAAAAGCCAGAGTGTCTTCTTTCCTCCAAATGACCACACTAGTTCCCCAGCAAGGGTTCTTAACTGGGCTGGAATGACTGAAATGACAGAAATAGAATTCAGAATATGGATAGGAATGAAGATCATCAAGATTCAGGAGAATTCAAAACCCAATCCAAGGAAGCTAATAATCACAATAAAACAATACAGGAGCTGACAGATGAAATAGCCTCTATAAAAAAGAACCCAACTGATCTGATACAGCTGAAAAACACACTACAAGAATTGCACATTCTAACTGCAAGTATTAACAGCGGAATAGACCAAGCTGAGTAAAGAATCCCAGAGCTTGAAGACTAGCTCTCTGAAATAACCCATTCAGACAAGAATAAAGAAAAAAGAATAAAAAAGAGTGAACAAAACCTCAGAGAAATATGGGATTATGTAATGAGATCAAATCTATGACTCATGGGCATCCCTGAAAGAGACAGGGAGAAAGCAAGCAACTTGGAAAACATATTTTAGGATAATGTTCATGAAAATTTCCTGAAGCTTGTTAGAGAGGCCAACATTCAAATCCAGGAAATGCAGAGAACCCTGAGAGATATTACTCAAGACCATCCCCAAGACACATAATCGTCAGATTCTCCAAAGTTTACATGAAAGAAAAAATGTCAAAGGCAGCTAGAGAGAAAGGGCAGGTTACCTACAAAGGGAACTCCATCAGGCTAACAGCAGATCTTTCAACAGAAACCCTAAAAGCCAGAAGAGACTGGTGGCCTATATTCAGCATTCTTTTTTTTTTTTTTTTTTTTTTGAGACAGAGTTTTGCTCTGTTGCCCAGGCTGAGTGCAGTGGCATGATCTCAGCTCACTGCAACCTCTACCTCCTGGGTTCAAGTGATTCTTCTGTCTCAGCCTCCCAAGTAGCAGGGATTACAGGCACCCGCCACTATGACCAGCTAATTTTTGTATTTTTAGTAGAGACAGGGTTTTGCTGTGTTGGCCAGGCTGGTTTCAAACTCCTGACCTCAGGTGATCTGCCTGCCTCAGCCTCCCAAAGTGCTGGGATTACAGGTATGAGCCACCTTACCTGGCCTCATTTCATTCTTAAAGAAGAAAATTTCCAACTAAGAATTTCATATCTGGCCAAACTAAGCTTCATATGTGAAGGAGAAATAAGATGATTTTCCGACAAGCAAATGCTGAGGGGATTTTTTTTTTTCCACCAGATCTGCCTTATGAGCAGTCCTGAGAGGAGTAGCAAATATGGATGGGAAAGACCATGACTAGCCATTACAAAAACACACTTAAGTAGACAGACTAGTGACACTATAAATCAACCACACTAACAAGTCTGCATAATAACCAGCTAACATGATGACAGGATCAAATCTGCACATATCAATACTAACCTTGAATGTAAATCAGCTAAATACCTCAATCAAAAGGCACAGAGTGGCAAGCTGGATAAAAAAGCAAGACCCAATAGTATGCTGTCTTCAAGAGACCCATCTCACATGTAATGACATCTATAGGCTCAAAATAAAAGGATGGAGAAAAATCTACAAAGCAAACAGAAAACAGAAAAAAAGCAGGGGTTGCAATCATAATTTCAGACAAAATGGACTTTAACCTAACAAAGATAAAAAAAGATAAACAGGGCATTATATAATAGTAAAGGGTACAATTCAACAAGAAGACCTAACTATCCTAAATATATACACACTCAACACAGGAGCACCCAGATTCATAAAACAAGTTCTTAGAGACCTATGAAGAGATTTAGATTCCCACACAATAATAATGGGAGACTTCAACACCCCACTGACAGTATTAGACAGATCATTGAGGCAGAAAATTAACAAAGCTATTCAGGACCTGAACTGAACACTTGACCAAAGTAACCTGATAGACATCTACAGAGTGCTCCACCTAAAAACAACAGAATATACATTCTTCTTATCACCAAATGGCACATACTCCAAAATCAACCAGACAATCAGACATAAAACAATACTCAGCAAAATAAAAAAACCTGAAATCATACCAACCACATTCTCAGACCACAGTGCAATAAAAATAGAAATCAATACTAAGAAAATCATTGAAATCACACAATTACATGGAAATTAAACAACCTGCTCCAAAATGACTTTTGGGTAAATAACGAAATTAGGTCAGAAATAAAAAAATTCTTCCAAACTAATGAGAACAAAGATATGACATACAAGAATCTCTGGGACACAGCTAAGGCAGTGTTAATAGGGAAGTTTATAGCACTAAATGCCCACATGAAACAGACAGATCCCAAATTAACAACCTAATATTACAACTAGAAGACCTAGGAATGCATGAGCAAACCAACCCCAAAGCTATTGGAAGACAAGAAATAACCAAAATCAGAGCTGAACTAAAGGAAATTGAGACACAAAAACCATACAAAAGATCAACAAATCCAGAAATCGGTTCTTTGAAAGAAATTAATCAGATAGATAGATCACTAGCTAGACTAATAAAGAAAAAACGAGAGAAGATCCAAATAAATACAATTAGAAATTACAAAGAGGAGGTTACCACTGGCCCCACAGAAATACAAAACACCTTTAGAGACTACTTTGAATACCTCTATGCACACAAACTAGAAAATCTAGAAGTGGATAAATTCCTGGACACATACAGCTTCCTAAGACTGAACCAGGAATAAACTGAATCCCTGAACAGACCAATAATGAGTTCTGAAATTGAATTAGTAATAAAAAGCCCACCAACCAAAACAAACAAACAAACAAACAAAAAAGGTCCAGGACCAGAGGGATTCTCAGCCAAATTCTACCTGATGTATAAAGAAAAGCTGGTACCATTCCAACAGAAACTATTACAAAAAATTGAGGAGGAGGGACTCCTCCCCAACTCATTCTATGAGGCCAGCATCATTCTGATACCAAAACCTGTCAGAGACACAACAACAACAAAAATAAAAAGAAAAGAAAAATTCAGGCTGATATTTTTGATGAACATAGATGCACAAATTCTCAACAAAATGCTAGCAAACTGAATCCAACAGCACATGCAAAGTTGGTTTAACATATGCAAATTGGCCGGGCACAGTGGCTCATGCCTGTAATCCCAGCACTTTGGGAGGCCTAGACGGGCAGATCACGAGGTCATGAGATCGAGACCATCCTAGCTAACACGGTGAAACCCTGTCTCTACTAAAAATACAAAAAATTAGCTGGGTGTGGTGGTGGGTACCTGTAGTCCCAGCCACTTGGAAGGCTGAGGCAGGAGAATGGCATGAACCTGGGAGGCGGAGCTTGCAGTGAGCCGAGATTGCGCCACTGCATTCCAGCCTGGCTGACAGAGCAAGAGTCCGTCTCAAAAAAAAAAAAAAAAGAAAAAGCTATTTTGAAATTCATATGGAACCAAAAAAGAGCTCGAATAGCTAAGGCAACCCTAAGCAAAGCTGAAGGCATCACCTTACCCAACTTCAAACTATATACTACAGGGCTACAGTAACCAAAACAGCATGGTACTGGTACAAAAACAGACATATAGACCAATGGAACAGTAGAGAGAGCCCAGAAATAATGCCATACACCTATAACCATCTGATCTTCAACAAAGTTGACAAAAAAAAAGAGTAATGGCAAAAAAAAAAAAAAAAAGCAATGGAAAGTACTCCTTATTCAATAAATGGTGCTAGAATAAATGGCTAGCCACATGCAGAAGATTGAAATTTGACCCCTTCCTTACACCATATACAAAATCAACTCAAGATGGATTAAAGACTTATGTGTAAAAACTCAAACTATAAAAACACTGGAAGATAACCTAGGACATGCCATTCTGGACATAGGACTTGGTGAAGATTTCATAATGAAGACACCAAAAGCAATTGCAACGAAACAAAAATTGACAAATGGCATGTAATTAAATTAAAGAGCTTCTGCACAGCAAAAGAAACTATCAACAGAGTAAACAGACAACCTACTGAGAGAAAATATTTGCAAACTATACATCTGACAAAGGTCTAATATCCAGAATCTATAAGGAACTTAAACAAATTTACAAGCAAAAACAACCCCATCAAAAAGTGGGCAAAGAACATGAACAGACACTTTTCAAAAGAAGACATATATGCAGCCAAAAAGCATATGAAAAATGCTCAACATCACTAACCATTAGAGAAATGCAAATGAAAACTACAAGATACCATCTCACACCATTCAGAATGGCTATTATTAAAAAGTCAAAAAATAATAGATGTTGGCGAGGTTGTGGAGAAAAGAGAATGCTTATACAGTGCTGATGGGAGTGTAAATTAGTTCAGCCATTGTAGAAATAAGTGTGGCAACTCCTCAGTGAACTTAAAACAGAATTACCATTTGACCCAGCAATCCCATTACTGGGTATATACCCAAAAGAATATAAATCATTCTACCATAAAGATACATCCATGCATATGTCCACTGCAGCCTATTCACAATAGTAAAGACACATAATCAACCTAAATGCCTATCAATGGTAGACAGGATAAAGAAAATGTGGTATATATACATCATGGAATATTATGCAGCCATAAAAAGAATGAGATCATGTCCTTTGCAGCAACATGGATAGAGGTGGAGGCATTATCCTTAGCAAACTAAGACAGGGACAGAAAACCAAATACCACCTGTTCTCACTTGTAAGTGGGAGCTAAACAAGGAGAACACGTGGATACTAGGAGGGAAACAACAGACACTGGGGCCTGCTTGAGAGTGGAGGGTGGGAGGAGGGAGGGGATCAGAAAAAACACCTATCAGTCACCCATTTCTGGGATGGGGGATAGGTACTAGATAGCTTCAGGGCAGGGGCTGGTCACCAGAAGAACCAACCCTGTGATTAGAGGGCTGGAACTTTTAGCTTCATCTCCTGACTTCTGGGGAGGAAAAGTGAGTGGGGATTGAGTTCAATCATATAGCCGATGATTCAGTCAATTATGCCTACATAACAGAAGCCCATATAAAAACCCTGGAACAACAAGGTTTGGAGAGAGAGCTTCTGGGCTGGCGAACACCTCCATGTGCTGGGAGGCGCATGTGTCTGGAGAGGTGTGGAAGTTCTGTGCCCCCGCCCTATACATCTCCATTTGGCTATTCCTGACTTGCATCCTTTATAAGAAAACTGCAATCGTAAGTGCAGTGTAGCCTTTTCATGAGTTCTGTAGTCATTCCAGCAAATTATCATGAGTCATGGGACTCCCCCCCCAAATCTGTAGCCAGGTCAGACAGAAGTGTGGGTAGTGCGGGTAGCCTGGGGACCTGGAACTCGTGTTTGGCATCTGTAGTGGGGACAGGCTTGTGGGAACTGAGCTCCTTAACCTGTGAGGTCTACACTAACTCCAGTTAGCTAGTGTCAAATTGAATCGTAGGACACTTGGTCAAAGAATTATTGTTGGAAACTACCAGGGTACTTAAATTGTTTGCTCATAAACCCTCCCACTTTGAATGGGCCCAACCAACATTTACTCCAGTGACTCTTATCTGAGCTTCCTGGCTGATCTTTTTTTTTTTGAAACAGAGTCTCGCCGTGTCACCTAGGCTAGAATATAGTGGCATGATCATAGCTCAGTGTAACCTGAAACTCTTGGGCTCAAGCAACCCTTCTGCCTCAGCCTCCTGAGTAGTTGGGACTACAGGGGTGTGCCACCATGCCCAGCTATTTTTGCATTTTTTGTAGAGACAAGATCTTGCTATGTTGCCCAGGCTGATTTCGAACTCCTGGGCTCAGGCAATCCACCTGCTTTAGCCTCCCGAGTGCTGGGATTATAGGCATGAGCCACCGCACCTGGCCCCACTTCCATTTTTTTTGTGGTTACACATTCCTTCTACACACATATCAATATGTTCACATGTTCAAGTCTTGCAGGCTTGAGAGCCATTCTTTGCATATCTCTGCTCCTGTCCATTCTGTTTTGATGACACAGCCTAATTTTAGCCTGAAGTATTGATAGCTCAGTCTTTGTTTAGCTTTGGGCCTTGGCATCCCTGTCCTCTTTTGGAGTTGTGGCTAGAAGTCCTCAAATGCTTCCTGGCTTGTCGTGCAAACCTCACAAGTATCTTTATATTGTACATCTCTGGACTGCAGAGGTGTGACTGTCCAACATCACCATGATTTAGCACTAACTGGAATTTAAAGAGTAACCTGCTTCTCCAGTCTCTGACTCAGCTAGTTCAAATGTCTGCAGTATTTCCTCTCATCCTCACCCACTGGGACACTAAGACTGCTTCGGACTCACCCCACAAGCAGAGGGGGCTGATAAATTAGAGCTGAATTACATACAACTCCCATCTGCCAAAAAAAACCCCTCAACTGCATGTTACAAGCTATGGTGTAAAATTCCTTCCTTGTAAGAGACAAAACAAAAACTCCAGAGAGCCATAAACTTGCTCAAATTCTGACCCTGAAATTCCACTTCCAGACCTAAGGAAATAATCAGAGATACAAAGAATTATGTAAAAGTTCTAAACTGTAATATTACTTACAAAGTGAAAAAGTAGAAATAATCTAAATATCTAACAAAGAACAATATAATGTTTATATGATATGCAGCGATTTAAAATGTTTTTGAAGCAATTTAAAGACATTCAAGGTCTCATAGCATCATGCTAAATGAACATAGTGGAATGTCAACTCTATGCATTAAGGCTAGGTAAGGTTAAAATGTATATATTATGTGCATCAAAAGAGACCTGAAGAAAATCTCAAAACCATCACCAGAAGCTTTCATCTTTTTTTTTTTTTTTTTTTTTGAGGTGGAGTTTCGCTCTTGTCGCCCAGGGTAGAGTGCCGTGGCGCGATCTTGGCTCACTGCAACCTCCGCCTCCTGGGTTCAAGCGATTCTTGTGCCTCAGCCTCCTGAGTAGCTAGGATTACAGGCACCTGCTATGACGCCCAGCTCATTTTTGTATTTTTTAGTAGAGATGGGGTTTTGCCATGTTGGCCAGTCTGGTCTCAAACTCCTGACCTCAGCTGATCCGCCAGCCTCAGTCTCCCAAAGTGCTGGGATTATGGGCATGAGCCACCATGCCGGGCCCAGAAATTTTCACTTAATGTGAAATTATGACTAACTTATTTTCCCAAGTTATAAAAGTGAGTGTATATTACTTTTGTAATCCTAATTTAATAGTTTTCTAAAAGTACTGTCTACCCCACAGCACTGCTTGATGTCTTCTGAGTGACTCCAAGGAGAGTAGCCTTTTCTATTTTGGCTCTATCCATCTTCCCATTTTCATTGATCACTGTCTCCCACGTACTGCTTTCCAGCCACATGGAACCTCTCACCATTCTTTCCACACAACAGGCCTTTTCATCACTCTGTGCCTTGGCATTTGGTGCTCCTTCAGCCTGGAATACTCTTTACTCTCTTCCATACTCACTCTTCTTCCAAATGCACTTCAAATGCTAGTTTCAGGTTCCTGAAGACACAGTTAGTCTTCAGGACTGTGCTCTGTAGTTGTTTTACACCTGCTCCAGCATTTATCATGTGGTCATGTGACTCATTTACAACTTGCCTTCCCCACTAAATTGTGAGCCTGTCTTGGGGTAGATGTATTATTTACTGTTGTATCATTACTACCTAGCACAAAGCCGACTATGTGCTAGGTAGTGGTGATACAACAGTAAACAATACATCTAAATACACTTATTTAACGTTCTTATTACAAAGAATGCTAAATAAGTTAATTTAAAATTTACTGTTATCTCTTTTCAAAAAGAATCAAAGGCCAGATGCAGTGTCTCGCTCTTGTAATCTCAGCACTTTGGGAGGCCGAGGCAGAACGATTGCTTGAGCCCAGGAGTTCTAGACCAGCCTGTGCAACATGGTGAGACCCCATCTTTACAAAAAATTTAAAAATTAGCTGCACGTGGCATGTGCCTATAACCCTAGCTACTCGGGAGGCTGAAGTGGAAGCATCGCTTGAGCTTAGGAGATTGAGGCTGTAGTTAACTGTGATCACACCACTGCACTCCAGCCTGGGTTATGGAGTGAGACCCTGTTTCAAAACAAAAATAAAAACAAAAAACAGGCCGGGCACAGTGGCTGAGGCCTGTAATCCCACCACTTTGGGAGGCGGAGGCGGGTGGATCACCTGAGGTCAGGAGTTCGAGGCCAGCCTGACCAACATGGCAAAACCCCGTCTCTACTAAAAATACAAAAATTAGCTAGGTGTAGTAGTGGGTGCCTGTAATCCCAGCTACTTGGGGGGCTGAGGCAGGAGATTCACTTGAAACCTGGAGGTGGAGGTTGCAGTGAGCCGAGATTGCACCATTGCACGCCAGCCTGGGTGACAAGAGCAAAACTCTGTCTCAAAACAAACAACAACAACAAAACCCCCAAAAGAATCAAACTACTGACTAAATAATGGATGAACGGACTAGTGGCAAGGCTACCAATCAAAAACTAAAACAAAAACAAAAAAACAAATCTGTGGTACTTGGCCATCCAAGCTCAGAAAAGGAATGATGTTGGAAGTAAGTTCTGTGTAAGGCTATTATACAGAGCTGAAAATGAGATAATTTTGTAAATACCAGCAAAAGACATCCTGCCCTAGATGGCATGTCTTTGGAATTTTGAATTCTGTACCTCACTGCCTGATTACAACTATAAAGGACCTAAGATTTGATTTTACTTGACTTACAAAGGCTAGTAAGTTAGGGTTTGCCACAAGGAGATGCTGAATCTGGGGGACAAAAAGAACATGAAAGGGCTCCCGTTTCCCAATCTCCTGAGATCGAATGTGTTCCCTCTCCAGGTGCTAGGGTCTCCGTGGCCATGCAGTTGGTGTGTCCCATCCCAGTAGCCATGTCTATACTTTTTCTCCAATCGTGCCCTACTTGCTTCCAGACATCTTGTCTGGAAGGGTCAGATGTAAGAGGGACAGGGGCATTTTTGCAAAATTAAAGAGAACCATTATATCCTATCTTGGCCTGTGTAGAACCCTGTAGAGGGATCTAGAGAACAGTGTACTTAACTAAGTAGTCATTATCGTCATGATATAGGACCATGTTAGTCCAATCTAGCTGAACCAGAATTAAATTTGAATTCCCTAGGCTGTCTTTTTTTAAGTAGTCGAAGGTGGTCTCTCCCCAGGGACATCTGAAGGGTATACCAACCAGGCTGGCCTGAGGATGTTGTCAGGGAAAAAAAGATGCATCATGTTTAGCAATAGTCAGTGTAGAATCTTGAATTTTCAAAATAGGTTCTATAGCTCTCCACCCTTATGGTCCAGATTATCACCTAGGAGACCAAGAGGAGATGAACTCTTTCTGGGGAAGGGTGCATTTAGTGACCATACTGCCTTACTAAGGTGTGCAGTGAGAGTTAGGGTTAGAGTCAGAAATCTTTTTGAGTTGATTTTTGAGAAGGCCTTTCCAATGTTCAAAATGATACCAGATACCTGCAAATGGGAGTGTGAAATGTCCATTGAATACCTTGACTAGTGGTCCATTGTTGAATGGCCTTTGCAATCCCTTCTCCCAAGTCTCACCGGGGTGATGTGAGCCAGACAGATGTCACACATGCAGGGAGTTGTATTACAGGAGGGGTAACACTGAGCTCAGGGACTCCACTGCTTTTATAGCAAACAGTAAGCAAGCTTGCTCTCTGTCCTGATGGGAGACATCCCTTCATTTTTCAAGGTTGCTTGCTGCAACCTAACCCTGAGAAATGTCTTGGATAAAGAGTGGTGAGAGCCTTGCATTCTTGGCATACTTAGCAAGGTGTGTAGGAGTACAAGAGCCTCACAGAAAGGAGCCTCCCAATAGATATGCTCTGTGAAATGATCAGTGCTCTCTCATTCCATGCCGATGACCAACACTTATTAAAAAACAGTTGATCAAGTAATTCCAGTGAAAGAAGAGGATCTCTGGAAGTAATAAAAATTGCTCCCTTAATTCATTCTTCTTTTTTAGTGCCTTCTGTCTAGTGTTTTTTCAACCATAAAATATTTTTTCTTTAGGCTCTTCAATTTTCTTCTAAAATAATAAAATTGTCTTTCATGGGCCTCTGATGACTTAACTTCCTTTTTTTCTTAGGTAGTCTCCTGAAAGCAAACACAGCATGGTTATTATTTATGAGCTGCAAATTATCACTACAAATGATTCATTCATCCATTTATTATTCCACAAACATTGCCAGGTGACTGCCATGTGCTAGGCACTGTGCTAGGTACTGGAGAAACAAGGGTGACTGGATAGTTGAAACACAGTTCCTGCCCTCATGGAGTTCACTGTCTAGTAGGGGATATAGGCACACACAAACATCAATTCTATTTCATGGTAATAAGTGCCATAGTAGAGGTATTTGAGTTGTCCTGGAGTATGAATTGGGTTCCCATGCAAAAAAAAAAAAAAAAAAGGATGAATAATGCATATGGCTGGGCAAAGGGAACAGGGTGAGAGAGGGCTCAGGAGAATAAAAGAAACTGCTGCCCTCCTCTCCTATATGTATTCTATGACCTAGACTTAAAACTGATTACGGCCAAGTGTGGTGGCTCATATCTGTAATCCCAGCACTTTGGGAGGCCGAGGTGGGTTGATCATGAGGTCAGGAGATCGAGACCATCCTGGCTAACATGGTGAAAATTCATCTCTACTAAAAATACAAAAAATTAGCCAGGCATGGTGGCATGCTCCTGTAGTCCCAGCTACTTGGGAGGCTGAGGCAGGAGAATTGCTTGAACCCGGGAGGCAGAGGTTGCAATGAGCTGACATCCCACCACAGCACTCCAGCCTGAGCGACAGAGCGAAATTCTGTCTCCAAAACAAAACAAAACCTGATTACAGCACTTGATGTACTCACGTTTTAAAGATGGGGTCTCACTATGTTGCCCACACTGGGCTCAAACTCCTGGGCTCAGTTGATCCTCCTGCCTCAGCCTCTTGAGTAGCTAGGGCTACAGGTGCACTCCACCATGCCAGGTAGCACTTCATTTTTTTTTATACAGAGTCTTGCAGAATAAGTCACAACGTATGCTTAAGATTCTTTTTTCAACCTGAGGACCTGGCCGGGTGCAGTGGCTCACGCCTATAATCCCAGCACTTTGGGAGGCTGAGGCGGGCAGATCACTTGAAGTCAGGAGTTCGAGACCAGCCTGGCTAACATGGTGAAACCCCGTCTCTACTAAAAATACAAACATTAGCCTGTGTGGTGGCAGGCACCTGTAGTCCCAGCTACTTGGGAGGCTGAGGCAGGAGAATCTCTTGAACCTGGGAGGCTGAATCTTGAATCTCTTGAACCTGGAAGTTGCAGGGAGCCAATATCACACCACTGCACTTTAGCCTGGCTGATAGAATGAAACTGTGTCTCAAAAAAAAAAAAGAAAAAGAAAAACAGAAACACAAAATAAACAAAAAACAACTAAGGACCTAGAATTAAAGATGCTAACATTTTACCAATGTTACAAATGTGACTCTCTAATATATTTATTTTAAAAACAATCCTGCATTTTTTTTTTTTTTTTTTTGAGACAGAGTCTCGCTCTGTCATCCAGGCTGGAGTGCAGTGGCACGATCTCGGCTCACCGCAACCTCTGCCTCTCCGTTCAAGTGATTCTCCTGTTTCAGCCTCCCAAGTAGCTGGGATTACAGGTACCTACCACCACACCTGGTCTAATTTATGTATTTTTGGTAGAAATGGGGTTTCACCATGTTTTCCAGGCTGGTCTCAAACTCCTGTCGTCAAATGATCTACCCACCTTGGCCTCCCAAAGTGGTGGGATTACAGGCGTGAGCCACTGCACAAACCTGATTAATTTGTGTGACAGAAGTAGCATAGCATCCTTTTCCTGTCTATTTAAAGGTTTTCTTTAATTAATATTCATGCCCCTAGAATCTTTCATAATACAATTTTTAAATGGTCATAGTTCTTCTTCTTCTTTTTTTTTTTTTCTCGAGACAGAGTCTCGCTGTGACGCCCAGGCTGGAGTGCAATGGCGCTATTTTGGCTCACTGCAACCTCCACCTCCTGGGTTCAGGTGATTCTCCTGCCTCAGCCTCCTGAGCAGCAGGGATTACAGGTACCCACCACCACACCCAGCTAATTTTTGTATTTTTAGTAAAGACAGGATTTTGCCATGTTGGCCAGGCTGGTCCTGAACTCCTGACCTCAAGTGATACACCTGCCTCGGCCTCCCAAAGTGCTGAGATTACAGGTGTGAGCCACCCCATCTGGCCTGTAATTCTTTACTTCCCAAATTTTCTACAATGATCACGTATAATTTTTTAGATAGAGAAAAATATTTTTTTAAAAAGGAGTAAAGGAAACAAAAGTCAGTCATAAGACAACTGGCTCCTGAGTGGATATCAGCCTTGTCCATCCTTCCTGATCATACGACCATTTCCAAGATAGCTGTCCCTTCCCAGAGCAGTGGGATATTAATGGCGTGATGCCAGCAGTGCACTTCTAACCAGGGCACATTCTTTGGAGTCTGTGGAGTTTTTTGTGGCCCTAAGCAAGAATACTAACCTTTAGTGCCAGCCACATGACCTACATTACAGTAGTCAGGCAATTTATCTGGTCTCCTCTGGGGAATTAGCCCTGAGCCCTAGCTGACAGGGTAAGAGCCTGGCTTCCTGACAGCCAAATTGCCCATCTTTCTAATCTCATATTCTGGTTATTTTAATTAGATAATTAACCTGGCTCTCTATGTCTCTGTTCTGCTCTCTGCTCCTGCCCTACAATTCTGAAATGGAGCCTCCTTCAAATCCTGACATCTGTTCAGGAAGGGTCCAATAATGCAAAATGCAATAAAATGAGGCATATCTGTACATAGGTATATAGTTTCTGTGATAAACTTAATTTCTCAATTGGCCCTTTAAGATTCAGCTCTCTGGCGCCTTCCCTGACTCTGCTAGGCCGAAGTAATTCATTGATTTATTCATCAAACATGTACTAATTGCCTACCCAACATCAGACACTGTGTTAGGTAATGGAGAAAAAGAAGGATTAAGACAAGACAAATGCCTTCCAGGGATTCACAATCTAGATAAACAAAGAACTGTAATGGGGATAATCATAAAGGTATGCATAAAATACATACCACAATGGATAGAAGCCTGAGATCTGACTTGGTTCTTTAATGATGATTAGGAATTTGCAGAATAGATGTGAGGGACAGGAAGGAAACAGAAAATATTTTAGGCAGATAGAACAGCATGTACAGAGGCATGGAAGGCAGAAGCTATATCTTAACCAGCTCTGCTTCCCTAATTTATCTAGGATAGTGCAGGGCACATGGTAAGTACCTCTGAATGTTTGTTGAATGAATGAATGAATGAATGAGTGGCTGCTTTTGTTACTAGAGGCTTCTGTTTCAAAGGAGTGTTTATGCAACTCCAGTAAACTTTTTAAAATTTAAATTTAGATTTTGAAAAATCTAAACACAAACACAATTTACCATTTATTAAGCTCAACTCTCACCGATATAATACCCAAGCTAGTTCTCTATGAGATCTTTATTCAAAAATGTATAGACACGGAGGGGGAATGCAGTATATACCAACAAAGTGGCTGCCTGACTCACAGTAATTCCTTTTCCTGTAAAATGTCTCTTTATATAGGGTAGACCCCCAGCAGCCACATCTCTGCCTTTTTACCCTGCTGTCTCCCCCCTCCCCTATCCTGCCCCACCTACATAGCTGACTGATACAGGGGTAAACCATATGACCTGAAACTTGCCAAATCAGGGTCCTAAGAGAAATTAAGGGGTATTATGGGAGGCTTGGCCATGATATCAGCCAGGAAAGGAAACAGTTTGCTATGAGACAGAACAAAGCTGACTCATTTAGAAGTCAAGACAGAATCCTAGCAGTGTTCCAGTCCCTGAATCTACCTTCCCCATGGCTCAGCTGCACCCTGTCCTTCCAGTGGCTATGTAAATAACCTCAGCATCCTTCCAATAAATTCCTCCTTTCTGCCCTAGCTGGTTTGAGTTGGATCTCTGTTACTCGTAGTCGGAAGACCCAACTAACATAGGGAATGAAGACAGGAACTAGGAGGCCAACTTACCCAGGCTCTCTGTGGCTTCCACACAGATGCTAGGATACATGCCCTCAGTGTAAGTTGCTACCAGAAGATACAGATGGGTCTTCACGACAACCACACCAGTGTTCTCCTGTATAAAGAATATAAGAGAATATTCTGCTCTTGGTTCTAATCACAGGACCAGTGGTCATGCTCCAGCTACGTTTTTCACCATTTCCTGATTTCCATATGTTTGGAATATATATGGAATATACATATTCCGTATATATTTTCCATATGTTTATATATCTGTTTTTGGACTGTCCACTCTTTTCCACCAATTTAGTTGCCTTTCCTCAAAAAGTTTCAGACTGTTATAATAATGGTAGATGGATTTTGAAAAAGTTCTGCAATTGATTATCATATACCCCATCCCAATTAGAACAACTGATGTAGGCCGGGTGCAGTGGCTCCCGCCTGTAATCCCAGCACTTTGGGAGGCCAAGGCAGAAAGATCACCTGAGGTTGGAAGTTTGAGACCAGCCTGGCCAACATGGTGAAACCCCATCTCTACTAAAAATACAAAAATTAGCCAGGCGTGGTGGCAGGCGCCTGTAACCCCAGCTACTCGGTAAGCTGAGGCAGGAGAATCTCTTGAACCCAGGAGGTGGAGGTTGCAGTGAGCCGAGATCGTGCCATTGCACTCCAGCCTGGGCGACAAAAGTGAAACTCGTCTCAAAAAAAAAAACAACAACAAAACAAAACAAAACAAAACAAAACTGATGTAATGGAAAGGTCGTACATTTTGGAATTGGACAGCTCTGGGCTTGAATTCTAGTGCCTCCTTTTCTGCTGCATGAGTAAGGGTTATTTAACCTTGTTAAGCCTCAGTGTCCTCATCTGTAAAATGAGATTATTTAGTTTATAATGTGGATGAAGCAGCATGCCTAACCCATAATATAGGGCATCCAATGAATGATTTTCATCTCTTTCATTCCTTATAAGCAACAGAGAGCTGATTTTTTTTAAAATTTTTTTTTTGAGATGGAATTTCGCTCTTGTTGCCCAAGCCGGAGTGCAATGGCACGATCTCGGCTCACTGCAACCTCTGCCTTCTGGATTCAAGAAATTCTCCTGCCTCAGCCTCCCAAGTAGCTGGGATTACAAGGGCGCACCACACCTGGCTAATTTTCTTGTATTTTTAGTAGAAACAGGGTTTCACCATGTTAGCTAGGCTGGTCTTGAACTCCTGACCTCAGCCTCCCAAAGTGCTGGGATTACAGGTGTGAGCCACTGTGCCTGGCCACTGAGAAATGTTTTAAGCACAGAAATGATTATCTCTTTTTTTTTTTTTTTTAAAGGAGGATGTAGAGTATGAAGGTGGGACTGTATTGGAAAGAGTTCAGGCAAGGCTCAGTTAATAGATTCTGGAATGAACATTTCTCAAAACCAGGCTCTTGATAGGACTTTCTTTCACATATGTCTTCCTGGCACTAGACTGCTATCTCAAGACAATGGCTCAAGACATTAATGGATTTAATCTGTTTTACAGAAAGGATCAGGCAGAGCAAGGAAATTTGGAGGCAAATTCTTTTCTTTTACTCAGCTCTCTTCAAATCTTGAGCACTCACATTTTTGGCATAAAGAGAATATTCATCTGCCCGGACACATCTGTAATCTTTTCCCTTGAAATACAGTCCTTCTCTTCGGGCTTGCAAAGGGTTCTTGGCAAATCCATTCACCAGTGTTCGGACATCACTGGGCGTTACCTGGAGAGGTTACATGGTTAGAGCAGGAGTCAGCCAACTATGGCTGGTGGCCAGCCAAATTTAGCCCACTACCTGTTTTTTATGGCCTGCAAGCTAAGAATGGTTTTCATGTTTTTAAATGGTTGGGGAAAAAAAATCAAAAGAATAACACTTCGTGACACTTACAAATTATATGAAATTCAAACTTCAGTATCCATAAATATAAAATTTTATTGGAACACAGTCACATTCATTCTTTTATGTATGGCTGTTTTTCCTCTACAATTGCAGAGTTGAGTGGTTGTGACAGAGACTCTACGGCCCTGTGCTATAGTTTGAATCTCATGTTGAAATCTGATTCCCAGCGTTTTCGGTGGGGCCTAATGGGAGGTATTTGGATCATGAATAGACTGATGCCCTCCCTGCGAGCTGGGGGAAGCTGTGAGTTTTCACTGTATTTGTTCCAGGAGAGCTGGCTCTTAGAAAGAGCCTGGCACCTCTCCACTTGCTCTCTCTTGCTTCCTCTCCCCCACTGTGATCTCTGCACATGCTGGCTCCCCTTCACCTCTGCCATGAGTGGAAGCAGCCTGAGGCTTTCACAGATGACCAGTCTTCCAGGCAGTAGAACTGTGAGCCAAATAAACCTCTTTTCTTTATAAATTACCCAGCTTCAGGTATTCCTTTATATCAACAGTAAAAAGACTAAGCCTAGAAACCTAAAATATTTATGTAGCTCTTTACAGAAAAAGTTCATTTAAAAGTCATGTCTGGGCTGGGCACGGTGGCTCATGCCTGTAATCCCAGCACTTTGGGAGGCCGAGGCAGGTGGATCACCTGAGGTTAGGAGTTTGAGACTAGCCTGACCAACATGGTAAAACACCATCTCTACTAAAAATACAAAAATTAGCCGGGCCTGGTAGCGCACTCCTGTAATCCCAGCTACTCGGGAGGCTAAGGCTCAAGAATCGCTTGAGAGGCGGAGGTTGCAGTGAGCTGAGATCATGCCATTGCATCCCAGGCTAAGCAACAAGAGTGAAATTCCGTCTCAAAAAAAAAAAAAAGTCATGTCTGCTTCATTTTTTGGAAGAATAGAAATAATAAGTAAATCAAGTCTTAGGTCCAAACTTGTTTTTTCTTACATTGAAACCTGGTGATGCTACACACAAGCTCCGCTCCTGGATTTTGATGAGGGCTGCACTGTCCACATGCTTGGTTCCCAAGAGGGTGTCTAACAATAAGCTCTGCAAATGGCTCATGTTCCCTCAACTCTGAAAGGGAAAGTGCAGTTGAAGCCATTGACTCTGGCTAGCTTTTAAAAGGCATGTGAATACAAATGTCCTTAAGACACTGCAGACAGTTCTAAGATCAGCAAGTGTACTTTGAAAAGGTACAGGGTGAAAACGGTGGTCCATCATTCAGGGCCCACCAGTACCCAAAGAGGAAAACAGAATCATAGAAAAATCACAGCTCACACAGAATAGGTTATGAAGCTGAGTTTGGAAAATCACAGCCTGGTGATTTTCTGGCTATGTCAATGGTTTACATCAGGATTATCTGCGATTTAAAAACAAACATTACACACTGAGAAAAACTCTGTAAAATAAAAAATAAAAACAAAAAACAAAACCCAGCCAGGATGGAGAGCTACCCTGCTAAGTTAAACACGACTAAAAGAGATTATGCGTGGCCATAAACCCACACATTCCCTTCCCGGTGACCTGCATCAGCGCCAGCTATGAACGCTGATCAACATCCCAATGGACTAAAAACACCTTGAAGGCACTTAAACCCACATTTCCCGCACAAGTCCCCAAGCCTTGGACCCCCCTCATCAGGACCTCCGGCACAGGCGCCCGTTTCCCGCCACTGCCTTCCAGTGGTTTGGTCCCCGAGCAGGACCCAAGGCGGGGCAGGGGGTGGTGAGCGGTGAATTCCCTGGCACCGAGGACTCGAGGGAGCGGACGCCACCCCGCTCTGTGGTGCCCGCAAGGACCCGGCGACCAAGGACCCGACCGTCAACGGACGCGGTTGCGGGTGGGTGGCGGCGGCAGGATTGGCCGGGCCACGCGCCGGTCACCGAGAAGCAGCGACTCCAGCCCCTTCCGCAAACCAAGACCCGCCACCTAGAGCCGCCGCCCAATCCCCTTTGGGCCTGAAGCCGTCCTCCGCCGCCCCGGCACCGCCCGCGCGGACTCGCTGTGGAACCCGCGGCGCAGGGGGCGGAGTGCTCGCGCGGCGCTGCGTCCGGGAGACGGTGGGCGCCAACATTCGCGCGTTCCGCAGACGCGGGCGGGCTCCCTTCCAGCCGCAGTCGGACGGCTCCGGGGTCGTCGGGCCGGGCCCGAGTGTGTAGCAGGACGGCCGCGGGCCTGCTGGCCTTGGGAGGGCAGAGAGGTGCCTGTCGCGGCCGGCGACCTCCCCGCCAGGCCGGGCGGTCCCCGCGCACGACGCGCCTGCGCGGGAGGCCCCCGGCCCGGGGCTGGCGTGGAGGCCGCAGGCGCCCGGCCTAGTGGGTGGGAGGAAGGGCCGGGAGTGGGCGCGATGAGCGAGAGCGGGTGCGGACGCCTACGACATCCCCGTCGCACCCGTGCCTCGGGGAGGACTTCGAGCCGCTCAGAGCTCGAAGACTCGCGCAGTATGACCGAAAGCCCCTCCCTGCCTTCTCTAAGCAGCTCAGCCTGTGTTTCTGTGGCCAGAAAGTTGCAGTTCTTCCCACTCGAGGCCACCAAAGTCAGAAAAGTGTTGCAAATGGGACTCCGAGAGGCCAGGCTGAAGCTGCCACACTGGCTGGAATGGGCTGCCTTGGAGGGGGACGTGGGAATCCATTCCAAGGGACGGGGGATTCTTTCAAAGAGCATCTCGCCTGCTTATAAAGGAGGCTGGCTCTGAAGCCGTCATCTGGAGTCTGTAGTGAAGGCCTCTTGTTAGGGAAACTGGATGGTTAGTGTTCAAAATCCATTTTGCGTGTGTGCAAGGACACAGGTGGTATTAAACAGAAGAGAAAATCAGATGACTGTGAAATGTTCAATACTAAATAAGATGATTTTTAGTTTTTCCAGGGGCATTGTTATTTGTGACCACAATGAAAAATGTAGACAGTGATGATCTGGTAACTGGCACACTTCCCAAGCTCAAGAGCTCAAAAGAATGGTTGGAGCCCAAGCCCCTTTGTTTTATGGAGGTATATATCAAATAGTGTGGGATTTGGAGATTTTTTTACTTGGATCGTTGCAGTAGGAAGTGGCTTGTGCTAAATATATTGTTTTTTCTATTGTTTGTTTTTATTTCATTCTGTTTATTATTCCCTTCACTTTACTAACTTTGTATATTCACTTTGCTGTTTTTTTCTAACATCTTAAGGTGGAATCATAGGTCATTGATTATATACCTTTTAAAATGTAACATAGCTATAAGTTTCTCTTGAGGTACTGCCTTAGCTGCATCACCCAAATTTTGATATGATGTATTTATTTATTTATTTATATTTGAGACAGGGTCTTGCTATGTTTCCTCCTGGAATCAAGCCATCCTTCCACTCCCTAGTAGCTGGAAGTATAGGCGCACGCCACCATGTCTGGCTAATTTTTGTATTTTCTGTAGAGATACAAAAAATCTCTACACTGTGTCGCCTAGGCTGGTCCCCAACTCCTGAGCTCAAGCAATCCACCTACCGTGGTGTTCCAAAATGCTGGGATTATAGCTGTGAGCCCTTGCGCCCAGCCAGTTATATTGTTTTTAGATTGTAGTTTCTTTTTTCTAAACAGCTTTATTAAGATGTAATTGATATACAGTAAACTGCATATATTTAAAGTGTGTGTCTGGCACTGTGCCTCATGCCTGTAATCCCAGCACGTTGGGAGGCTGAGGTGGGAGGGTCGCTTGAGCCCAGGAGTTCTATCTAGACCAGGCAGAGCAATATACTGAGACCCTGTCTCCACAAACGAACGAACAATAATAGCCAGGTGTGGTAGCATACACCTATAGTCCCAGCTGCTTGAGAGGCTGAGGCAGGAGGATTGCTTGACCCCAGGAATTTGAGGCTGCAGTGAGCTGTGATTGTGCCACTGCATCCCCACCTGGGTGACAGAATAAGACCCTGTCTCAAATAAAGTGTACAAACTTGGTAAGTTTTGACATGTATACACACGAAAACATCACCACAATCAAGATGGTGGACATATTCAGTACTCCCAAAGCTTCCTTAATATTCTGTTGTAATCCCTCCCTCACATCCCCCCACCACTGCTTTTCTTTCTTTCTCTTTCTTTCATTCTTTCTCTCTCTTTCCTTTTCTTTTTCTTTTCTTTCTTTCGCTCTATCACTCAGCCAGGAAAACACTGGCGTGATCTCGGCTCAATGCAACCTCTACCTCCCGGGTTCAAGTGATCCTCCTACCTCAGCCTCCTGAGTAGCTAGGATTACAGGCCTGCGCCACCACACCTGGCTAATTTTTTTGGATTTTTAGTAGAGACGGGGTTTCACCATGTTGGCCAGGCTGGTCTCAAACTCCTGACCTCAAGTGATCTGCCCGCCTCGGCCTCCCAAAGTGCTGAGATTATAGGTGTGAGCCACTGCGCCCAGCCTGCTTTGCTTTCTGTCACTCTAGTTTGCATTTTAAAAATTGTATACAAATGGAATCTTACAGTATATATTTCTTTTCCTTCTGTTTGTCTTCTTTCACTCATCATAATTATTTTGCCACTCACCCATGTTGTATGTATCAATACTTCATTCCTTTTTTGGTTGAATGCTATTCCCTTATCTGGATATATCCCAATTTGTTCATCCTGTTTATGGACATTTGGGTTGATTCCAGTTTGGGGCTATTACAAATAAAGCTGTTATGAACATTCATGTGTGTGTCTTTGTATGGACGTATGCTTTCATTTCTCTTGGGTAGATATTTAGTTGTGGAGTGACTGGGTCATATGGTAAATGAATTTAACTTTATGAAGCTGCCAAACTAGTTTCCAAAGTCATTGAATTATTTTACATTCCCACTAGTAGTGTGTGAGAGTTCCAGTTGTTTCATAATCTAGCCAACATTTGGAATAGTTTTATTTATACTGATTTATTGTATGGCCTTTTTAACTCAAGACATTTTAAAAAGATGTATAGTGACATCTCATTGTGGTTTTAATTTGCATTTCCTTAATGACTGATTATGAGCATCTTTTCAAGTCTTACTTGCCATTTATCTATCTTCTTTGGCAAAGTGTTTGTTCAAATCTTTTGCCCACTTTAAAATTGGCAATTTTAAGTTGGGTTGTTTGTATTCTTACTGTTGGACTCTTCCTATTGAGATATAATTTACATGCCATAAGATTCACTACTTTTTTTTTTTTTTTTGAGACAGAGTCTTGCTCTGTCGCCCAGACTGGAACGCAGTGGCGTGATCTCAGCTCACTGCAAACTCTGCCTCCCCGGTTCACGCCATTCTCCTGCCTCAGCCTCCCAAGTAGCTGGGACTACAGGTGCCTGCCACCACACCTGGCTAATTTTTGTTTTTGTATTTTTACAAAAAAAAAGTAGAGAGGGGTTTCACCACGTTAGCCAGGATGGTCTCGATCTCCTGACTTCATGATCTGCCCGCCTCGGCCTCCCAAAGTGCTGGGATTACAGGCGTGAGCCACCGGGCGCCCGGCCAAGATTCACTACTCTAAAGTGTACAATTCAGTGTTTTTTATTTTTTTTTAAATTCAGAATTTTTATTTTCAGTGTTTTTTAGTATATTCACAAATCCGTGCAACTGTCACCACTATCTAATTCCAGAACATTTCATCACCCCCAAAAAGAAACTTCACACCTTTTAGCAGTCACCCCCCATTCCCCTCCCTCTCTGGCTCCTGGCAACACTGATCTACTTCCTGTCTAAACAGATTTGTCTACTCTGGACATTTTATACAAATGGTATCATACAATATGTGGTCCTTAGTGACTGCTTTCACTTAGTATAATGTTTTCAAGGTTTGTCCGTGTCAGAGCATAAGCAGTACTTTATTCCTTTTGATGACCAAATAATATTCCATTGTCTCAGTATCACATTTTGTTTATCCCTTCATCAGTGGATGGACTTTTGGGTTGTTTCTGTTTTTTTGCTGTTATGAATAATGCTGCTATGAACATTTTGTGTAACTTTTTAGGTAACATGATTGCAGTTCTCTTGGGTATGTAACCTAGGAGTGGAATTGTTTGTTGGGTCATATGGTAACTATATGTTTAACTTTTTGAGGAACTGCTGAACTGTTTCCCACAGCAGTGATACCGTTTTAAATTTTCATAGCAATGTATGAAAGTTACAATTTCTCCACTGCTCAGAGTTCATTGAACTTCTTGTATCTGTGGGTTTATAGTTTCTGACAAATCTGGAAAATTTTCAGCCATTATTTCTTTTTTTTTTTTCAGCTGAGTCTCACTCTATCACCCGGGTTGCAGTGCAGTGGCATGATCTCAGCTTACTCCAACCTCCGCCTCCCGGGTTCAAGCAATTCTTGTGCCTAAGCCTCCCGAGTAGCTGGGATTACAGATGTGCACCACCATGCCCAGCTAATTTTTGTATTTTTAGAAGAGTTGAGGTTTCACCATGTTGGCCAAGCTGATCTTGAACTCCTGGCCTCAAGTGATCCGCCTGCCTTGGCCTCCCAAAGTGATGGAATTACGGGCATGAGTCACTGTGCCTGGCCTATTTCTTAAATTATTTTTTCTATTCCCTCCATCTTTTGGGAAATACAACTGTATGTACAATAACCTGCTTGAAATTGTCCTGTAGCTCACTGATATTCTGGTAATTTTCTTCAGTTTTTCCCCCGTGCATTTCATTTTGGAAAGCTGCTGTTGCTATGCTTTTAAGTTCACTAACTTTCTGTAATGTCTAATCTGCTAATAAACCTACCTAGCATATTTTTATCTCAAGTATAATTTGTGTCCCTAGAAGTTTTATCTGGATTCTTTTGTTTCGTTTTTTGTTGGTTTGTTGCTGTTGTTGTTGTTGTTGAGACGGGATCTCTCTATGTAGCCCAGGCTGGTCTTGAACTCCTGGCCTCAAGTGATCCTCCTACCTTGGCCTCCCAAAGCACTGGGATTACAGGTGTGAGCCATCATGCCTGGCCCTTAGCTCTTTTTCAAACATTTTTTTCTGTCTCAACATGTCTAGTCTTCTAGCTTCCCTAACTTATGAACTACAGGAATAATAACTTTTAATGTCCTGGTTTAATAATTATAGTGTCTTTGTCATTTTGGGGGCAGTTTTGGTTAATTTTCCTTCTTATTATTGGTTAAATTTTCCTATTTCTTTGTATACCTGGTGATTATTGGTTAAATTTTCCTATTTCTTTGTATGCCTGATGATTTTTGATTAAATGCAAGACTGTGAATTTTAACCATATTGAGTACTAGATATTTTTGATTTGCTATAAATACTCTTTTTTTTTTAAGTACAAGTGCACAGATTTCCCATAAATATTTTTCATTTTTCCCCTTGGATTCAGTTAAGTTACTTGGACACAGCAGGATTCTTTCAGGTCTTGCCTCCGAGTTTTGCTTGACAGGACCACAGCAGTATCTACCGTAGGGCCAATTTTGTTTCAGTACTGATACAAAACCTCTCCAAATACTCTACTCTATGCACTTCAAACTATGGGAATTTTTTTTTTTTTCCTCTGGCTGATGCTAAAGGGAACAAACACTCCTGGGACTGTGTGACCTCTAGGGATTGATTCCCTAATTCTTGCAGGTGTTTCTTTGCCCATTGTTCCTTTGGGCATGTAGTGTTTACGATCAGCTGAAGACTCAAGGGGACCTCTGCGGTTGACCCTTTGCAGTTCTCCAGAGCTCCATCTTTCTTGTAGCTCTCCTCCCTCTAGTACTCTAACCTATGAACTCCAACTGCTCTGGCCTCTCCAGACTCCCATCCCCACTCCTCAATTCAGGCAGACAGTTGGGCTGTTTGTTTTCTATTTCTCAGGGGCCACTGTTCTTCTTTGCCTGATGTTCGATATCTTGGAAACTGTTGTTTCATCTATTTTATCTTTTTTTTTTTTTTTTAGTTGTTTCAGGTGGGAGAGTAAGTCTGTTTCCTGCTACTCTGTCTTGTTCAAAAGTGAAAGTTCTCATCCAGACATTATTTTTTCAAACAGTTGTTTCCTGCTCCATTCTTTTACTCCTCACTTCTGCAACTCTATCCATTTGCTGAATCGTTTGATATTGTCTCATAGGTCACTATGACTCTGTTTATTATTTTCTAATCTTTATTCTTCCTTTTTTTTCAGATTGGGTAATTTCTAATAGTCTGTCTTCAAGTTCACTGACTATTTTTATGTCATCTCTAATCTGCTACTAACCCATTGAGGTTTGTTTATTTCTCAAATTTAAGAACTGTATTTTCCACTTGGTTTTTTATCATTTCTATTCTCTGCTAAGATTTTCTATTCATTAATTATAAGCATATTTTTAAGCATAGCTATCATAACTGTCCTCAAATCCTTGTCTTCTTTTTTTCAGATTTTCATGTCAATATAATTTTCTTTTTATTTTTCTTATTTTACTTTAAGTTCTGAGATACAAGTGCAGGACGTGCAGGTTTGTTACATAGGTATATATATGCCATGGTGGTTTGCTATCAACCTGTCATCTAGGTTTTAAGCCCTGCATGCATTAGCTGTTTGTCCTAATGCTCACCTCCCCTCACCCCCAGCCCTCGACTGGCCCTGATGTGTGTTGTTCCCCTCCCTGGGTCCATGTGTTCTCATTGTTCAGCTCCCAGTTATGAGTGAGAACATGCGGTGTTTGGTTTTCTGGTTCCTGTGTTAGTTTGCTGAGTATGATGGCTTTCAGCTTCATCTATGTCCCTGCAAAGGACATGATCTCATTCCCTTTTATGGCTGCATAGTATTCCATGGTGTATATGTACATTTTCTTTATCCAGTCTATCATTGATGGGCATTTGGGTTGGTTACATATCTTTGCTATTGTAAATAGTGCTGCAATAAACATACATGTGCAGATGTCTTTATAGTAGAATGATTTATATTCCTTTAGGTACATACCCAGAAATGGGATTGCTGCGTCAAATGGTATTTTTGGTTCTAATATCCTTGAGGAATCGCCACACTGTCTTCCACAATGGTTGAACTAATTTACATTCCCACTAACAGTGTAAAAGTGCTCCTGTTTCTCCACAGCCTCACAAGCATGTATTGTTTCTTGACTTTAATAATCACTATTCTGACTGGCATGAGATGGTATCTCATTATGGTTTTCATTTGCATTGCTCTAATGATCAGTGATGTTGAGATTTTTTTCATGTGTTTGTTGGCCATGTAAATGTCTTCTTTTGAGAAGCATCTGTTCATATCCTTTGCCCACTTTTTGATTTTTTTTTCTTGTAAACTTGTTTGTTTTTTGTAGGTTCTGGATATTAGAGCTTTGTCAGATGGGTAGATTGCAAAAATTTTCTCCCATTCTGTAGGTTTCCTGTTCATTCCAATGATAGTTTCTTTTGCTGTATAGAAGCTCTTTAGATTAATTAGATCACATTTGTCAATTTTGGCTTTTGTTGCAATTGCTTTTGGCATTTTTGTCATGAAGTCTTTGCCCATGCCCTGAATGTTATTGCCTATGTTTTCTTCTAGGGTTTTTATGGTTTTGGGTTTTACATTTAAGTCTTTAATCCATCTTGAGTTAATTTTTGTATACAGTGTAAGGAAAGGGTCCAGTTTCAGTTTTCTGCATATGGCTAGCCAGTTTTCCCAGCACCATTTATTAAATAGGGAATGCTTTTATTAAAGGAATTCTTTATTAAAGGGGAATCTTTTCCCCATTGCTTGTTTTTGTCTGGTTTGTCGAAGATCAGATGGTTGTAAATGTATGGTGTTATTTCTGAGGTCTCCATTCTGTTCCATTGGTCTATATGTCTGTTTTGGTACCAGTACCATGCTGTTGTGATTACTGTAGCCTTGTAGTATAGTTTAAAGTTAGGTAGCGTGATGCCTCCAGCTTTGTTCTTTTTGCTTAGGATTGTCTGGGCTATATGGGCTCTTTTTTGGTTTCATATAAAATTTGAAGTAGTTTTCTCTAATTCTATGAAGAATGTCAATGGTAGATTGGTGAGAATACCATTGAATCTATAAATTACTTTGGGTAGTGTGGCCATTTTCATGATATTGATTCTTCCTATCCATGAGCATGGAATGTTTTTCCGTTTGTTTCTGTCCTCTCTTATTTCCTTGAGCAGTGGTTTGTAGTTCTCCTGGAAGAGGTCCTTCACATCCCTTGTTAGCTATATTCCTAGGTATTTTATTTTCTTTATAGCAATTGTGAATGAGAGTTTATTAATGATTTGGCTTTCTACTTGTCTGTTGTTGATGTATAGGGAATGTTTGTGATTTTTGCACATCGATTTTGTATTCGGAGGCTTTGCTGAAGTTGCTTATCAGCTTCAGGAGCTTTTGGCCTGAGATGATGGGGTTTTCTAAATATAGAATCATGTCATCTGCAAACAGAGACAATTTGACTTCATCTCTTCCTATTTGAATACACTTTATTTATTTCTGTTGCCTGATTGCCCTGGCCAGAACTTCCAGTAATATGTTGAATAGGAATTGTGAGAGAGGGCATCCTTGTCTTGTGCTGGTTTTCAAAGGAAATGCTTCCAGCTTTTGCCCATTCAGTATGATATTGGCTGTGGGTTTGTCATAAATGGCTCTTATTATTTTGAGATATGTTCCATCAATACCTAGTTTATTGAAAGTTTTTAACATGAAGGGATGTTGAATTTTATTGAAGGCCTTTTCTGTATCTATTGAGATGATCATGTGGTTTTTGTCATTGATTCTGTTTATGTGATGGATTATGTTTATTGATTTGCATATGTGGAACCAGCCTTGCAACGCAGGGATGAAGCCAACTTGATGGTGGTGGATAAGCTTTTTGATGTGCTGCTGGATTCAGTTTGCCAGTATTTTATTGACAATTTTCGCATTGTACTTCAACAGGGATATTGGCCTGAAGTTTCCTTTTTTTGTTGTATCTCTGCCAGATTTTGGTACCAGGATGATGGCCTCATACAATGAGTTAGGGAGGAGTCCCTCCTTTTCAATTGTTTGAAATAGTTTCAGAAGGAATGGTACGAGCCCTTCTTTGTATCTCTAGTAGAATCCAGCCATGAATCCCTCTGGTCCTGGGATTGTTTTTTTTTTTTTTTTTTTTTTTTTTGGTTGATAGGCTATTAATTACTGCCTCAATTTCAGAACTTGTTATTAGTCTATTCAGGGATTCGACTTCTTCCTCGTTTAGTCTTGGGAGGGTGTATGTGTCCAGGAATTTATCCATTTCTTCTAGATTCCAACATATGGGTCATTTCAGAGTTGGTCTCCATTGATTGTTTTTTTCTTAAGTGTGGATCACATTTTTCTGTTTCTTTATATATCTAGTAATTCTAGATTACATTTTGGACATTATGAATGATACATTGTGGAGGGTCTGGATTCTGTTATATTCCTCTGAAGAATATTGAGCTTTTGTTTTAGGAAGCAGTTATCTTTGCTGAACTCAATCTCCAAACTTGTCTTTCCTGAAGTTGGCAGCAGATGAAGTCACGGTTTAGTCTTTTTTTATCTTAAGCTGGGCTACATGGAGTCTGCCTTATGCATATACAGTTCAAGAGTTTGCCAGATATTTGGTCAGAGTTCTTTTGCAGAATTTGTGGCATCCTTTCTTTGGCTCCCTCTTTTCCAGTATTTTTCCTCTCACCTTCCAGCTCCCATGCTTACCCCAAACTCTGTCTTCTAATTCCTGAACCAGTTAGGCCGCATGTTTCTATCTGAGTTTTAGCCACCTCCTTTACCTCAGACTAAGGCCCTTTCTCAGGCAAGTTAATAAAAAACTGGAAATTCATCTAGTGCTGTTTTTTTTTCTTGGTGTTGAATAGCATTCAGTAACTTCCTGCTTTTTGATCACTCTCCAGTGTCTTCAGGTTGTTGTTTTTTATATTTTTTATCTGGAATGTTAATTCACTACCCCCTATCTGAGTACAGACTTTCCAGGAAGGGCAACTCTATGAGGCAAAAATAACAAAGAAAACAAACTAGAGTAGACTCATTTGAGTTTTCTATGCTTCTAGTTGTTGCTTAGCTCCCATGAGCCTTGGCTTCTTTGGATGTTAATGGGGAAGGACAGTTCTTAGATAATGAGATTTTACTCATCTGTCCTGGAAATAAAAGCAGTGGGACTGAAGACAACTACTTTCACTGACAGTTAACTTGAGAATATTTTATTTGTATGTAATTACATGAGGATCTCAAAGGCAATTCTGTGCTAGAAATCAACTGCTTCCATTTTCTGGCAGGTATTTAATAATTGTGGAACATTTGTTATAAAAATGGAAAAATTAATGCTGTCATAATTTTGTCACTAATATCACTGTTCCCTAAAGATTGTGTTATTTCAAAATCTGAAAATGTGACTTGTATATAAAAATAGGATTTGACTGGGCATGATGGTGGCTCATGCTTGTAATCCTAGCACTTTGGGAGGCTGAGGTAGAAGCATTGCTTGAGCTCAGGAGTTTGAGGGTACAGTGCGCTATGATCATACTACTACACTCTAGCCTAAGTGACAGAGCAAGACTGTCTCCAAAATAAGTACATTAAAAATAAAATTTATTAATATTTATTTGATAGCCATATTCACTAATGATAAATAAATTTGTTCCAATTATATTTATGTCAATACTGTCTAAGAAATTTGTTTCAGTCTTTTGGGTAATTTGTCAATTGTCATGGAAAAATTAAATGAATATGTTTCCTTTTATTTTAATAAGAGCTTTCATTTTGAGAAGATCTAATTACTTGTTTAATTATAATTTTACATTTTATAGACAGTTGTGAGTTAATGGATAAAAATATAACTCATTTCCTTGATTTATTATATCCATAGGCTTATGTTTCAGTAATTTTCAAAAACAAAATTAGTGGGTGAATTCATTATGGAAGAACACGAAAAAGAACAGGAGATTGAATAGAAAGTCTTTCTAAGACCTTGTATTATTGTTCACTAGTGACATTTCTTCTATGTATAGAGTTTGCCTTAGGTGGCACTAAGCTTTTAGTGAAACTGTTGACATATTCTTAACTAGTTCTGTAAGAATCAAGGCTGGAAGATTAGTATGTCTTGCATAGTCAAAAAGCCTCAAATAGAGGCCTAATTTAATCTATTTTAACCCAGAAAAGTAAAAGCATTTTATAGGAAGTGAAAAAAGATGGATTGTAACTACCATGTGACTCTGGAAAAGACATTTGAACATTTTGGGACTCAAAGTGTCTGTGAGCTGAGTTATATTTTGGTGTAGCCAAGAGCAGACAGATCGAAATACTGTTTAAAAAGCACTTGATGGGCTGGGCACAGTGGCTCAGGCCTGTAATCCCAGCACTTTGGGAGGCTGAGGCAGGCAGATCACTTGAGGCCAGGAGTTTGAGACCAGCGAGGCCAACATGGCAAAACCCCGTCTCTATCAAAAACACAAAAATTAGTCAGGCATGTGTTGCACACCTGTAATCCCAGCTACTTGGGAGGCTGAGGCACAAGAATCGCTTGAACCCTGGAAGTGGAGGTTGTAGTGAGCCGAGATGGTGCTGGTGCACTCCAGCAGCCTAGGCGACAGAACAAGACTCTGTCTCAAAGAAACAAACAAAAAAAAGCACTCGATGATATGATTTGGAGGAAACAAACTGCATGCATAGAGAACTTTCCAGGGATATGTCTGTCATGCTAAATATAATGATTCCAGATAGCACTAATAGTTTTTAAAGATTTTCTTTTCAAAGTTTAATTCTGTCCTTTCAGGTTTTAGCTAAAGAAGATACTGAGGCAGCTATTCAATCAATATTATACAAAGAAAATTCTGTAATTAAGGTAAGAATTGGCTACAAAATGCATCTCAGTTAAAAATTAAATGTAGTTTTTCCTTTTTATATGTAGCATATTCTATAAAAACTATTTAGAAAATATGGAAAAAAGAATTAAAAGAACACTCCCTTGCACCTGGAATTAACCTTAAGGGATCTCTGAAATTGCTCTAATGGACTTCCTCCCTTCCTATACTTTGTGGGAATTCCTTTGCAGAGAGGCACAGAAATTTTCCTCTACTCACTTGTTTCTTTGTCTTAGTGGGTTTCAGCAGTCACTATAAATGAGCTAACCCTTAAGAGCTGTTAGCAGAACACACTGACTAATTATTACTCAGATATACATAGAACAGGGTTTAACTGAGCCAGGATGGGCTTAATGTGACAAGAAGAACATCCATGTGAAGTGTACTAAACACCAGGGACACTGGAGTGGGTAACCTGTTTTTATTTTTAAGAAATTTCTTTAGAGCTCTTTAAAAAGGAAAGGAACTAACATTGGGAATGGCTGAAGTGTGCTATGGCCAGAGGTTAGGGAGGGACTCGGCCTAGCAGACCTCTCAGGGTTCTTAATATTTTATTTATTTCATTTTGAATTTCACGCTCTTCCTAGTAGTCACATGACTTTATTTGCTATATGAAAGGTGAATGAGAAGGTTTAGTGAGAATGAATTAGTTTGTAGCCTAATCAAGCATCATCTTTGCAGGCTACTTGCCACTTGGATTAGGTTATGCCACACTTCTGCCTCTTTACTCTTGCCTTTTTTTTTTTCTGAAGGTCAGTTATAGTGAAGGGTTTTTTTTTTTTTTTTTTCCATAGAATGTTTTTCTTCCTCTTTTTCTGCCATCCCTTCTCTTCCTGGATAACCCTTCTTTTTTTTTTTTTTTTTTTTTTTTTTGAGACAGGGTCTCACTCTGTCACCCAGGCTAGAGTGCAGTGGCACAATTACAGCTCTCTGCAGCCTTGGCCTCCTGGGCTCAAGTGATTCTCCTGCCTCAGCCTCCCAATTAGTTGGGATTACAGGTGTGAGCCACGGAGCCTAGCTAAGTTTTAATTTTTTTTTGAAACGGAGTCTTACTTCTTTGCCCAGGCTGGAGTGCAATGGTATGATCTCGGCTCACTGCAACTTCCACCTCCCGGGTTCAAGCAATTCTGCCTCAACCTCCCAAGTAGCTGGGATTATAGGCACGTGCCAGCATGCCCGGCTAACTTTTGTATTTTTAGTAGAGACGTGGTTTCACCACATTGGCCAGGCTGGTCTCACACTCCTTACTTCAAGTGATCTGCCCACCTCGGCCTCCCAAAGTGCTGGGATTACAGGCGTGGGATTGCCACTACGCCTGGCCAAGTTTTAATTTTTTTGTAGAGACGGAGTCTGACTATTTTCCCCAGGCTAGACTTGAATTCCTGGGCTCATGTGATCCTCCTGCCTTGGCCTCCTGAAATGCTAGGATTACCGGCGTGAGCCACCGCACCTAGTGTAAATCCTCATTCTTAAAGGCCCAGCCCAAATGTCTCCCACTTTGGGAGTCTTGGCTTTGAAAAAAAATTAATCATTTTTTTCAGTGTATGCGATATAAAAGTAAATATACACAATATAAAATTTGCCATTTTAACCATTTTAAGTGTACCATTCGGTGTCATTAATCACATTCATAATGTTGTGCAACCATCACCACTATTTCCAAAACTTTTTCCTTACTCCAAACTGACAGTTTGTATTCAATAAGCAGTGACTCCTCATTTCTCCCTCCCCCAGGCACTTGGTAACCTCTAATCTACCTTCTGGCTCTATGAATTTTGGCTATTCCAGATAGTTCGTATATGTGGAATCCTGTACTATTTGTCCATTTGTGTCTGACTTATTTCACTTTGGCATACTCTTTTCAAAGTACATCCATGTTGTAGCATGTTTCAGAACTTCATTCCTTTTTGTGGCTGAATAATATTCCATATTACACATATAAATAAATGTGGTATGTATATACCACATTTTATCTGTTCATCTCTTGATGGATACTTGGATCGTTTCCACCTTTTGGCTATTGTGAATAATGCCGCAATGAACATTGGTGTACAAGTATCTATTTGAGCCTGGATTTTCATTCATTTGGGTAGGAGTGGAATTGTTGGGTCTTATGGTAGGTCTGTTTAAATTTCTGAGGCCCACCAAACTGGGAATCTTTTAAGAATCTAGCAAATGGTTTTTCTCTCCTCTGTCTTCAGTTATTTTATTTATAGTATGCCATACATATATCCATCATATATAAATATACATCTTGCTATATTCCCCCTCCCACTGTTTGTGATTTTGTTTGTTTGTTTCTTAGGGATGGGTTTTCACTCTGTTACCCAGGCTAGAGTGCAGTGTCCCAGTCATGGTGTACTGCATCCTTGAAGTCCTGGGCTCAAGTGATTCTCTAGCTTCACCCTCCCAGGTAGCTGGAAATATAGGCAGGCGCCACCTTGCCTTGCTTTTGATTTGTTCTTTAGTCTTTCTCCCCAGGGAGAGCAGGCATGTTGCCCCAAATACCTGTGTTTTCCTTGTTTGCAGCAGAGTGTATGTCACATAGTAGAAGTTAAAGCCAAAGAAACGATTGAATTAATGAATGTCTCTGTGGGTTATTCTTAGGAGTAATTTAAACTTATGAAGTTTAAGTTTTGGAAAATTTTAGAACAAGAAAGCTTTAGGATAATATATTTGTCTTTTCTACCACTGTTTACTAGGAACTAGATAAGTATTTACAACATCATGCCTTCTTAAATGCAAGAAGAAAGGAGATGTTATATAAAAGATGGGTTGACTGTGTGGCAGATCCTCTTCAGAAGAAAATTATAGAAAAAGTTTGCTCACATAAGAAGATTAAAAAAAGGAGGCAAGGGGAATTAGATGGCTTTTTAAAACATGTAAATAAAAAGGTACTAAGAGATCATTTGATGCTTTTTTCAGTTGATTTAGACCTAATGTCATCTTTGTTCATTTATAATCATTCAGTCAGTCTGTCCCTGTCCCCTCTACATATGTATCATCTATACCCTGTTACATAATAGCATAAAGTATTCTTAAACCCAGGACATTTGGAAAGGAGAGAAAAGGAAGATTAGATTTAATTGTCTACATTAGAACCATTTTTCTGTGTTTTCCCCATGTGGTTATTATTATTATTATTCGAGATGGAGTTTCACTCTTGTCACCCAGACTGGAGTGCAATGGCACGATCTTGGCTCACTGCAAACCTCCACCTCACGGCTTCAAGCAATTCTCCTGCCTTAGCCTCCCAAGTAGCTGGAATTACAGGCATGTGCCACCACACTGGCTAATTTTGTATTTTTAGTAGAGACAGGGTTTCTCCATGTTGGTCAGGCTGGTCTCGAACTCCCTATTTCAGGTAATCTGCCTGCCTCGGCCTCCCAAAGTGCTGGGATTACAGGTGTGAGCTACTGTGCCCAGCCCTCCCCATGTAATTATTAATTTTAATTATCAAGTTAAAAAATGTGGGTGTGTGGCTCACACCTGTAATCCCAGCACTTTGGGAGGCCAAAGCAGGTGGATCACCTGAGGTTGGGAGTTCGAGACCAGCCTGGTGATACCCCGTCTCTCCTAAAAATACAAAATTAGCCAGGCATGGTGGTGGGTGCCTGTAATCCCAGCTACTTGGGAGGCTGAGGCAGGAGAATCACTTGAACCTGTGAGGTGCAGATTGTAGTGAGCCGAGATCACACCTCTGTACTCCAGCCTGGGTGATGGAGCAAGACTCTGTCTCAAAAAAAAAAAAAAATTATACTTACAAAATAAATAATTTGGACTCTAGTTTCAGGACATATTTTTCTTTTGTTCTGGAACTTGATTATTTGCGAAGCTCTAAAATATAGCTGTTCTTCTAGCATTTTTTTAAAATCTGAGATGTTTGACTAGTAAGCATTTAAAAACAAATTCCCAAATCTTTTAGTGTTCCAACATTCTTTATTAAGATCTTACAAATTTTAAGTAGATTCCTTCCTTCACTATACCTGATTGCTTGAATAAATTAAATTTAAAATGTAGCCTTGTCTTTCTTTTTGCATTTGTCACTGATGCTGCTTTCAAGCATAAGAATGATACTATGTGTTTGACTCTCAAGTCCTGATATGCTCAAAATTAACTGTGCACCTCTTGTTCTTGTGTATCGTTTTATTTCCTTGCTATAGGGAAATGCATTTATAGAACATTATGATCCAAAAGAGTATGATCCCTTTTATATGAGCAAGAAGGACCCCAATTTTCTGAAGGTAGGGTAGATTTCTTTTTTTTAACTTTGGTATTATGTGTTTGGTTGTTTTGAGCAGCCCTAATATATGAGCAGTCCTTAAGCGATTCCCTAAAAGTGCAGTAACATTTTAAGCATAGTTTCCCATCGCCTGATCTTAGAAAGGAACAAAAAGCCAAAGGCCAAAGTAAATTAAATCTCCATAAAAGTGGAAAATACTGGATAATGATTGGGTAATAGGTAACGTTTAAAAATTCCATAGACTTTTAAATTTGTTACAAAAGTAACACATTTTCATGATAGATAAATGAGAAAATTGATTTTCAAATTAAGAAAATAAAAAACCAAAATTCTATTACCCAGAATTAATTCATTATGTTAACTCATTAACATTTTTCTGTATATCTATCTAGACTTCTTTCTATATGTGTGTATGTATTCACATTTTTATTTTATAAGAATGGAGTTACATTTGGTTTTATAATGAGCTTCCCCTCCCTCAATAGTTTATTATTTGCTTCTTTCTCAAAATATAAGTATATAATTTTCTTCATTGCATGATATTCTGTTACTAATAGCAGAATTAATTAACCTTGCACTGAAGGATTAACCAAGTCTTAGGGTTTTTTTCACATTTATTTCACCTTTGCTGCTACTGTGTGAGGTAAGTCACAGATGAGACAAGTAAGATTCAGGTCACTTGTCAAAGTCACCCAGCTGTAAATAGCAGAGCACAGATGTGGTGTTTTGTTTTGTTTCGTTTTTTCAGAGGGAGTCTCACTCTGTCACCCAGGCTGGAGTGCAGTGGCGCGATCTCTGCTCATTGCAACCTCTGCCTCCCGGGTTCAAGAGATTCTCCCACCTCAGCCTCCTGAGTAGCTGTGATTACAGGCGTGTGCCATCATGCTCGGCTAATTTTTGTATTTTTAGTAGAGATGAGGTTTCACCATGTTGGCCAGGCTGGTCTCAAACTCCTGACCTCAAGCGATTTGTCCTCCTTGGCCTCCCAAAGTGCTGGGATTACAGGCTTGAGCCACTGTGCCTGGCCTTATCTTGTATAAAATGTTGTTTTGAAATATGTACACATTGTGGAATGACTAAACCAATTAACATACATTGCATCACAAACACCAGTTTTTTCTAAGTAAGAAACCTAAAATCTTCTCTCTCTGCAATTTTCAAGAATACAATACCTTGTTATTAACTATAGCCATCATATTGTACAATAGATCTCTAGAAAAATTTTATGGCAGCCGGGCGCAGTGGCTCATGCCTGTAATCCTAGCACTTTGGGAGGCCAAGGCGGGTGGATCACCTGAGGTCAGGAGTTCAAGATCAGCCTGGCCAACATGGTGAAATCCTGTCTCTACTAAAAATACAAAAATTAGCCGGGTGTGGTGGCATGCACCTGTAGTCCTAGCTACTCAGGAGGCTGAGGCAGGAGAATCACGTGAACCCGGGAGGTGGAGGCAGCAGTAAGCCAAGATTGAGTGTCACTGCACTCCAGCCTGGGCAACAGAGTGAGTGAGACTCTGTCTAAAAAAAAAAAAAGAAAAATTTTATGGCTGAAAAAATATAATTGCATTGCATTCAAGTGAATTTAGTGACACAAATTATTTGTTAATAAGGTTTCTTGCACATATAAAATAGATACCTTTTTTTTTTTTGACGGAGTCTCACTCTGTTGCCCAGGCTGGAGTGCAATGGCACGATCTCGGCTCCTGCAACCTCCCCATCCTGGGTTCAAGCGATTCTCCTGCCTCAGCCTCCCGAGTAACTGGGATTACAGGCACACGCCACCAGGCCTGGCTAATTTTTGTTTTATTTTGTTTTGAGACGGAGTCTTGCTCTGTCACCCAGGTTGGAGTGCAGTGGCGTGATCTTGGCTTACTGCAACCTCCGCCTCCCAGGTTCACACCATTCTCCTGCTTCAGCCTCCTGAGTAGCTGGGACTACATGCACCCACCACCACGCCTGGCTAATTTTTTTGTATATTTAGTAGAGACGGGGTTTCACCGTGTTAGCCAGGATGGTCTCAATCTCCTGACCTCGTGATCCACCCGCCTCGACCTCCCAAAGTACTGGGATTACAGGCTTGAGCCACCGCGCCCGGCCTAATTTTTGTATTTTTAGTAGAGACGGGGTTTCACCATGTTGATCAGGCTGGTCTTGAACTCCTGACCTCGTGATCCGCCCGCCTTGGCCTCCCAAAGTGCTGGGATTACAGGTGTGAGCCACCGCGCCTGGCCTAGATACTAGTTTTTAAAATGGTATTTAGGGGATAATTTTTACCCTTTTTAGAGAGGTTTTGTTAGAACTGGTATTGGCCCTCACATGTCCAAATCAGTGAGAAGTCCAATATTAATTGTTTTTGGAGGTATCCAACCTTGAGTTGTACAGTCATGCTGTGGGCTTGTGTCATCCTACAAAGTGGTCCCACAGCCTCCCAATTCTTGGTGGGGCACATCACTGGTCCCAGGCCCAGGTTGTACTATGATTGTTATTCCTTACGGTCACATGCTGTGGCTCAGGTGCTGGCCCCATTTGTAGACCCAGCATTGGTAATCCATGTCTTCAGATCCAGGTCCTTGCCCATGTCTGGCAGAGACTCCACCTGAGAGCGTCTCGGGTAGGCTCTGCAGGCTGGGTTCCTGGCGCCCTGCTCTGTACTCTTTATGGACCTGGCACTTCCCAGACCCTGCTCCTGAGCTGCTACAGAGTCTGTAAGCTTGTCCTTATTCTCAATTCTGGGTTATCAAGTGGAGATATCCAACATTATCTCCTTTCCCCCTTTCAATTTCCCCAGTACAGAAAAGGTTCATCTTGCCTCTTATTTCAACAGTAGGGCTTGAGATGGCCCAGAGCACCTGGCTTCAGACCAACCCAAATGACCCTCTCTATCTTCCTTTCCTGGGAGTGGGACAGATCTGACTTTAGGAACATAGAGGCTTGATTCCTTCCCTTCAGATGGATCTTCAGCATTTCTTTGCATGTGCTTTGTGCAGCTCTACTTAAAAATTATTAACTTTACTAAGTCTTGCTCCTTCAATACACATCTTTTAGATGTTCTTTGTGATGAAATGGGAGTATGCGAACAGCACTTCTGCTGCATACTGAAATATGGATGATTGCTTGAATTGTGAGCTGAACTGGCTGCTTTTTTTTCTTCCATGAAACACCATTTTTACTTGAAAGAATGACTTACAAACTATAGTTATTAAGTCTTGGGTATTTGGCGGATATTTTCTGGAAAATGAATGAAGTCAGCTTGTCACTTTGAGAAAAACTACTGACAATATTTGTTGCCAATGATAAAAGGTGAGCTTTCAAGCAAAACATTTGGAATTTTGGAAAACTCATATTCACCATCAGAAGTGTGACAGTAGCCCAATACTCAAAAGACCTTTCTGATGAAATTGGTACTGATATTAATGAATGTGATTCTTTGATATTCAGTAATGAAATGTACAAACATTTGGAAGATCTTGCATAACTCCATGATCCAATTTTCCCCCAAATGTTACAAAATTACGCGTGGGAAAAAGATTCATTCGAAGTGCAAGATAGACTAATGGACTTAGTAGAAGAGTATGAAAAATTCATAGATATGGTTTCAGATTCCACATCATAACTAACCTTTAAGAAACTACCTCTTACTGAGTTTGGGTATAGTATCAAAAACAAATATCCACGATGATCTAAAAAGGCTGTTAAAATACTCCTACCTTTTTCTTTTCTTTTTTTTTCTTTTTTGGTTTGTTTTTGTTTTTGAGACAGAGTCTCGCTCTGTCACCCAGGCTGGAGTGCAGTGGCCCAATCTCGGCTCACTGCAACCTCCGCCTCCCGGGTTCACACCATTCTCCTGCCTCAGCCTCCCGAGTAGCTGGGACTACAGGCGCCCGCCACCACGCCCGGCTAATTTTGTTGTTGTTGTTGTTGTTGTTTTCAGTAGAGATGGGGTTTCATCGTGTTAGCCAGGATGGTTTTGATCTCCTGACCTCGTGATCCGCCCGCCTTGGCCTCCCAAAATGCTGGGATTACAGGCATGAACCATCATGCCTGGCCACTCCTACTTTTTTCAATTACGTATCTCTATATGGATTTTCTTCATATATGACAACTAAAACAACAAATCTCAACAGATTGCTTGCAGAAGCAGATATGAGAATCCACCTGTCTTCTATTAAGCAAGACATAAAGAAGTTTACAAAAATGTAAAACAGTGTTACTCTTCTCATTTTTTTGTTTCAGGAAATAGAGTTATTTTTCATAGAAAGATATGTTAAACATAACAGGCATATTATTATTATTTTAAAATTAATAAGCAATTTAAAATTTTCTGTTTTAATTTCTAATATAGTAAATATCAATAGATCTAAGCCATATACACAAAAGTTATTTGGATATAACAACAATGTTTTGAAATAAAATAGTTTCAGCTGGGTGCGGTGGCTTACGCCTGTAATCCCAGCTACTCGGGAGGCTGAGGCAGAAGAATTGCTTGAACCCAGGAGGCGGAGGTTGCAGTAAGCTGAGATTGTGCCACTGCACTCTAGGCAGCAGTCTCCAAAAAAAAAAAAAAAAATTAGTTTCAGAACCACTGGGTTACAATACCTCCATTTATGATGTGTAAGTGCTTGTCAGTAGAGATAGGTGTCTCCGGACTTATAATTGTCGATAAAACTTTAGATTGTTGTTTGTTTCTATCTTCAATTTAAAATTTAAAATTTGGTCTGGGCATGGTGGCTCATGCCTGTAATCCCACCACTTTAGAGGCTGAGGTGGGAGGATGACTTGAACTCAGCATTCGAGACCAGCCTGGGCAACATAGGGAGACCTGTCTCTACAAAAAAAATTAAAAACTAGCTGGACATGGCGCACACCTGTGGTCCCAGCCACTCGGGAGGTGGAGGTGGGAGGATGGCCTGAGCCTAGGAGGTTGAAGCTGCGGTGAGCCACTGCACTCCAGCCTGGACGACAGAGCGAGACCCTGTCGGAGAGCTTCAAGATGACTGGCTTGAGGCATCTGACATTTACCTCCTCCACAGAAGAACCAAAATAGCGAGTAGAAAATTGTACTTGGAACACGTCATCTAAGAGGAACACTGGAATTCCACAGAGAAGTGACAAGGAAACATCTAAGGTGAGGAAGGAGAGGGAGGTGAGGCAGCCTGCTCGGCCCTGAGACTAACACGGGGGCTGCCCGGAGATGGAGAGGGCCGAGGTGTGAGCAGCTGGCAGCAACCTTGCTGACCTCAGCACAGGGGCCACGGCTCACTTTCTTGCACCCAGAGGACAGGCCCCACCTGCAGCATCACCTAGGCTGAAACATACACTCCCTAACTGCCTCCCTATGCCTGCTGCCACTGAAAGCAACCCCACCCTCCACAGCAGCAGGTCCACAGCACAGCCACCAGCACCCCCACCCGAGTACTCTGCAGGGGGCTAGGGGATTGCCCTGCCCCATCCACCACCATTGGCGAGAGCCCACAAGCCTGCTGCTACCACCACAGCTGGCAACCTCCTGCACGCGCCAACTGGTGGTCTGGAGACTGGCCCACCCAGCCTGTTGTAGCCACTGCCAACACCCGTGTGGACCACTCTGGAGACAAAGGGTTGTCTCGTCACTGCTACTGCCATTGCCCACAACATGACCAGTGCCCAGGGGTTCAAGAACCTGCCCATCCACCTGGCCGACCGCAGCCACTGCATGCACCCAAGCAAGCCACCTGGAGACCCAAGAACTGGCCCACCTGAACCCGTAACACCGGTGCCACTGTATACTGCTCTGAGGACCAAGGACAGGCACCCTTGGCCTGCCACTGCTTCCGCTGAGGCTGGGGACTGGCCTGCCCAGTGTCCCCATCCCCCGCAAAGCCTCACCACAGCCTCCAACAACTGTACCCTAAGCCACCAAGGAAAACACAGACACCACTGACGCTGTTTGCAGCTGAAGAAATATGGAGACTATACTGTTGCACGCACCCAGGATCAAAGCCAAAGTGTCCTACCCATCCAACACCATAGACACGTCTCCAGGAAAAAGTCCTCCCCTACGGAAGCAATCCAGAAAACAGGAAGAAGCCTCCATTACCCCAGATGCACAGATGTCAATGTAAGGACACAAGAAACGTGAAAAAGCAAGGCTCTGACACCTCCAAAGGAACACAATAACTCTCCAGCAGCAGAGTCCAATGTCATTTAAAATTTGATCTGCTCTTCATATATGAATAGGTCACATACAAATACCTGAAAATGATAGTACCTTTTTTTGTTCCTTTTTTTTTTTTTTTTTGAGACGGAGTCTTGCTCTGTCGCCCAAGTGGAGTGCAGTGTCGCAAGCTCCACCTCCCGGGTTCATGGCATTCTCCTGCCTTGGCCTCCCAAGTAGCTGGGACTATAGGCGCCCGCCACCACGCCTGGCTAAATTTTTTGTATTTTTAGTAAAGACGGGGTTTCACCATGTTAGCCAGGATGGTCTCAATCTCCTGACCTTGTCATCCGCCTGCCTCGGCCTCCCAAAGTGCTGGGATTACAGGCGTGAGCCACTGCACCCTGCCTTTTTGTTCCTTTTTATAGTGAGTTAATATTTTCTTAATATTTTATGAGTAGCACTTTTCATAACTTCTGTAAAAGCAAAATTATACTGGGCAGTCTGATCACCGTTTAACTCTAATAGTCATGATGTGTATTGTAACTACCCCTGAAAAACTAGCCTGATGAGCATGAGAAAGATACATGAGTGACCTTTTAAGCTTGTGGTAGAATTTCACTGACTAGGCCTAAATGGTGAATGTTGCTGTTCATGAATCCTGTTTTCATATGTAGAACTGTCATTTTGATATTGATAATATTGGCCATTAACATAGATTCAGTGCTTCCATACCTTGGCTCACAAATGATCTATATTTTGAATAACTTGGTTAAGTTTTGAGTAATGTTAGTTATGTTGTTGATTATCAATGTTAGGGATTAAGATGAATATATGGATATATTTTTTCTTTTGTGCATGGGAAAGGAATTTTTAAAATTTGGGAACATATGGTAACAACAAAATAATTTTTGAAGATTGAACCCACACTTTGAAACAAGAGCTAACTTTGTCTCTTTGACTGGAGGGCCTTTAAGAGAGGTATTGATATACCCCCATCTCTTTGTAATATATTAAATAAATATAATGGTAAGCCTGCTATTTGTAAATACCATATTATTTACCCTCCCGGCATAAGAGCCATCCATATGTGGATGCTTAGAATAGACTGAAAATGTTTACTACTCAGACTTGCAACTCAGTGCTTAAACAAGTGCCTCTCTTGTAGGTTACCATCCCACCATTTCATGACCCTTTGAAAAAAGCACAATATGACAAGGATAACGAAAAAAGAACTCTTCTTCAGTGTGAGACTGGTACTTAGTTCCTAATTGTTATGTGATTTCATAGCCCAAGAGCAATGGCAGATGCATTTAAGGATGTTAATTTAGATTTTTATTCTTCCTTCAGGCAAAATATATTCAATAAAGGAATTCAAAGAAGTTGAGAAGGTTCAGCTGCATTCCAGATTCCCACAAATTTCTAATTCAAGGCACTTTATAACTCCAAACGAGTGGCTGAAACTGCCTACAAGATACATAGAAAGTGAATTTTGTAGAAGGAGAAGGTAATGGTTAATATACTAGAAATTATAGAACCTTTTGGACTTTGAAAATTCTTCAGACTGATATAACATTTTTCATAGTTATGATTTTTTAAAATTATCATTTTTCTTTTTTTTTGAGACAGAGTCTCACTCTGAAAATTTCATTTTTCAATGAAAAATCCATAATTCTTATCTTTGTTTCTCTGTATGTGATGTTTCTTTTTTCTTGGGTACTTTCAAGATTTTCTGTTTCTCTTTGGTTTTCATTAGCTAGATTATGATCTGTTTATATTTGTTTTTTTCTGTCTATCTTAATGTTCTCTGAGGTTCTCATATGTGTGGTTTTATGTCTTTTATTATTTTGGGGAAATCCTAGGCCATTATCACTTCAAATATTTCTTATTTCCTGTTCTGTCTACTTTTTTTCTTCCTCCTGAGACTCCAATTATATGTATATTAGATCACTTGATGATGTCTCACAGTGCCATAGCTCTTACTCTGTTCTGATTTTCCACTCTTTTTTTCCTTATTTGTTTTTCAGTTGGATGATTTCTGACTTGTTTTTAAGTTCACTGCCCTTCCTTAGCTGTGTCCTGTGCCCATCAAAGGAACTCTTCATCTTTGATATCATGATTTTCAAATTTCTAGCATTACCATTTGAATTTTTAGATAGTTTTTATTTATTCTGAAATTCTTCATCTGTTCATGCATGTTGTCCACCTTTTCCACTAGATTCTTTACCATATTAATAATTTAAAACTCCCTATCTGGTAGTTCTAATGTTAGGGTCATTTATGAATCTAGTTCTCTTGATTGCTTTATCTCTTGACAATGGCTTGTTTTGCCTTGCCTTTTTTTTTTTTTTTTGCATGTCTTGTAATTTTTTATTGAATGCCAGATATTTGATGTAGAAGAATGGTGTACATGGAGTATTTATGTCTAGAAATGGATATGCCTCTTCTTCTGTCAAGCATTAGTGTGGAGGATTAGCCTTATCTAGTTGGAATTGAGTTGGGTTTGGGTAATGTTATTGCTATTGTTACCTTTAGTGCATCACAGGCTTGAATACCTCCAGTGGTTAGGCTGCTTTTCCTTGTGCTTAGAGTGCGGGTGGGGTGCCAGAGGGATTTTCTCAAGTGTTTCTGCTCCTTCCTCAGTTTTCAGCTATCCATGCAAGCTGGCATCATAGAAGTGGAGGGGTATTCTCTCCATGCTCTTCCCTCTCCCACGGGAGTATACCACTGTTGCATGTTGCTTATTGCAAGGCTTCTAGTGGACGCAGAGGAATATCCCATGTTTTTCTCATGGAGCTTCAGTTTTAGACAAGCCCTATGTGCTTAGGCCTCAGAAGCAGGACTTTCCTGAGGTTCCTTTTCCTTATCCTTGTGGCAGCCAAACTTGACCTTGTATCTGTGGTTGTTCTTGGATGGCAGTGTCCTGTCTGTCTTCCAACGACAGCAAGATTTCTGCTTAGTATAGGAATAGGAGTCTTGATACCTTTTTTTTTAATTTGTAAATTTAATTTTTGTAGGTACATAGTAGGTGTATATATTTATGAGGTACATGAGATGTTTTGATACAGGCATGCAATTCATAATAGTCACATAATGTAAAATGAGGTATCCATCCCCTCAATGATTTATTCTTCATGTTACAAAGAATCTAATTATACCCTTTTAGTTATTTTTAAATGTATGTTAAAGTGTTATTGACTATAGTCCCCTTGTTGTGCTATCATATACGAGGTCTTATTCATTCCTTCTATTTTTTTGTCCCCATTAACCCCATCCCTACTTACCCTTTACCCTCCCAATACACTTCCCAGCCTCTGGTAACCATCCTTCCGCTCTGCATCTCCATGAGTTCGATTGTTTTGATTTTTAGATCCCACAAATAAGTGATAACATATGATGTTTGTCTTTCTGTGCATGGTTTATTTCACTTAGCACAATAACCTCCAGTTCCATCCATATTGTTGCTAATAACAGGGTCTCATTCTTTTTTATGGCTGAATATTACTCCATTGCGTGTAAGTGCATTTTCTTTATCCATTCATCTGTTGATGGACATTGAGGTTGCTTCCAAATCTTGGCTAATGTGAACAATGCTGCAGCAAACATGGGAGTGCAGATATCTTTTCAATAGACTGATTTCCTTTCTTTTGAGTGTGTACACAACAGTGGGATTGCTGAATCACGTGGTAGGTCTATTTTTAGTTTTTTGAGGCTCCTCCAAACTGTTCTCCATAGTAGTTGTACCCATTTACATTCCCACCAACAGTGTGCAAGCATTCCCTTTTCTCTACGTCTTTGCCAGCATTTGTTATTGCCTGACTTTTGGATATAAGCCATTTTAACTGGGAAGAGATGATAACTCATTGTAGTTTTTTTTTCTTCTTCTTTTTTTGAGACAGAGTCTTGCTTTATCGCCCAGGTCAGAGTGCAGTGGCCCCCACCTCCCAGGTTCAAGCAATTCTCCTGTCTCAGCCTCCTGAGTAGCTGTGACTACAGGCACATGCCACCACACCCAGCTGATTTTTGTATTTTTAGTAGAGACGGGGTTTCACCATATTGGTCAGGCTGGTCTCAAACTCCTGATCTCAGGTGATCCACCCACTTCAGCCTCCCAAAGTGCTGGGATTACAGGTGTAAGCCACTGCGCCCGGCTTGTTGGTTGATTTGTAATAAGGCTTTTCTTCTCTCAAAAATCTAATGCCATAGTATTGGTTTCTGTGTGTATTGGGAGTGTGAGCCACTGCACCTGGCCTGCTTTCTTTCTTTTTATTTTTTGTAAATCTGTTACTGGTTTTTTGATTTGCGGTTACCATGAGGCTTGTAAATGCTATCTTGTAACCCATTATTTTTAACTGATGACAACTTAAGACTGATTGCATATACAAACGCACAAAAAGAAAACTAGTGAAAACTTTAAACTTTGTCTCCCTGCTTTTTAACTTCTTGTTGTTCCTCTTTGTGTCTTATTATACTATTTTTTGAAAAGTTGTTGTAATTATTTTTGATTGGTTCATCATTTAGTCTTTCTATTTAATAAGATAAGAGTATTTGCACACCACCATTGCAGTGTTATATTATTCTGTGCTTTTCTCTGTGCTTACTATCACCAGTGAGTTTTGTATCTTGAGATGATTTCTTCTTGCTCATTAACATCCCTTTCTTTCAGATTAAAGAACTCCCTTTAGCATTTCATATAGGATAGGTTTGGTGTTGATGAAATCCCTCAGCTTTTGTTTGTCTGGAAAGGTCTTTATTTCTCCTTCATGCTTGAAGGATATTTTTTTTTCTGGATAATACTATTCTAGGGTAAAAGTTTTTTTCTGTCAGCACTTTATTTCTTTATTTTATTTTATTATTATTTTTTTGAGACAGAGTCTCACTGTCACCCAGGCTGGAGTGCAGTGGCATAATCTCGGCTCACTGCAACCTCTGCCTCCCAGGTTCCAGTGATTCTTGTGCCTCAGCCTCCCAAGTAGCTGGGATTACAGCTGTGCACCACCATACCCAGCTAATTTTTGTATTTTTAATAGCGATGGGGTTTCTCCACATTGGCCAGGCTGGTCTTGAACTCCTGACCTCAAGTGATCCACCTGCTTCAGCCTCCCAAAATCCTCGGATTACAGGCATGAGCCACCATGTCTGGCCATGTCAGCACTTTAAATATGTCATGCCACTCTCTCCTGGCCTGTAAGGTTTCCACTGAAAAGTCTGCTGCCAGATGTGGTGGAGCTCCATTGTATGTTATTTGTTTCTTTCCTCTTGATGCTTTTAGGATCCTTTCTTTATTCTTGATCTTTAGGTGTTTGATTATTAAATGCCTAGAGGTAGTCTTCTTTGGGTTAAATCTGCTTGATGTTCTATTACTTTCTTCTACTTGAATGTTGATATCTTTCTCTAGACTTGGGAAGTTCTCTGTTATTATCCCTTTGAATAAACTTTCTACTTCTATATCTATCTCCCCTGTAAGGCCAATAACTCTTAGATTTGCACTTTTGAGGCTATTTCCTGATCTTACAGATGTGCTTCATTGTTTTTTATTCTTTTTTTCTTTTGTCTCCTCTGAATGTCTATTTTCAAATAGCCTGTCTTCAAGCTCACTAATACATTTTTCTGTTTGATAAATTCTGCTATTAAAAGACTCTGATGTATTCTTCAGCATGTCAGTTGCATTTTTCAACTATAGAATTTCTGCTTGTTTTGTTTTTTGTTTTTTGTTTTTTTTTTTGAGACAGAGTCTTGCTCTGTCACCCAGGGTCCATGGAGTGCAGTGGTGTGATCTTGGCTCACTGCAACCTCTGCCTCTTGGGTTAAGGTGATTCTCATGCCTCAGCCTCCTGAGTAGCTGGGACTACAGGCACCCACCACCACGTCCGGCTAATTTTTTGTATTTTTATTAGAGATGGGGTTTCACCATGTTGGCCAGGCTGGTCTCAAACTCCTGACGTCAGGTGATCCACCCGCCTTGGCCTCCCAAAGTTCTGGGAATACAGGCATGAGCCACTGCACCCGGCCTCATTATGAGATTTTTTGGTGATTTTTTTTTTTTTTTTAGCTCATTAGCTATCATTAATGTTAGTGTATTTTATGTGTTTCTGTGTGGCCCAAGACAATTTTTTTTTTTGAGTCGGAGTCTTGCTCTGTCCCCCAGGCTGCAGTGCAGTGGTGCAATCTCGGCTCACTGTAACCTCCGCCTCCTGGGTTCAGGCGATTCTCCTGCCTCAGTTCCCTGACTTAGCTGGTATTGCAGGCATGCACCATCACACCTGGCTAATTTTTGTATTTTTATTTTTATTTATTTATTTATTTTGAGACAGAGTCTCGCTCTGTCAGCCAGGCTGGAGTGCAGTGGCATGATCTCAGCTCACTGCAACCTCCCTCTCCCGGACTCAAGCAATTCTCCTGCCTCAGCCTCCCGAGTAGCTGGGATTACAGATGTGTGCCACCATGCCTGGCTAATTTTTCTATTTTTAGTAGAGACAGGGTTTCACCATGTTGGCCAGGCTGGTCTCAATCTCCTGACCTCAGGTAATCTGCCTGCCTCAGCCTCCCAAAGTGCTGGGATTACAGGCATGAGCCACCACGCCCAGACAATTCTTTGTAATTATTTCAATTTCTTTGTTAAATTTATCTGATAGAATTCTGAATTCCTTCTCTGTGTTATCATGAATTTCTTTGAGTTTCTTCAGAATAGCTATTTTGAATTCTCTGTTTGAAAGGTCATATATCTCTGTTTCTCCAGGATTGGTCCCTAGTGCCTTGTTCAGTTCATTTGGTATGTCTATATTTTCCTGGATGGTGTTGATGCTTATAGATATTCATCAGTGTCTGAGCATTGAAGAGTTAGGTAATGTAGTCTTTACATTCTGGGTTTGTCCTTCTTGGGAAGGCTTTCCAGGTGTTTGAAGGGATTTGGGCCCCAAGCCCAATAATACTGTGGTTTTTGCAGACTCATAGAGGTATTGCCTTTGTGGACTTTGATAAGATCCAGAAGAGTTATCTGGTTACTAGGCAGAGACTCCTGATATTTACCCCCACCTTCTCCCAAACAAACAGTCTCTCTCTCTGTGCTGAGCCACCTGGAGCTGGGGGTGTCATGATGCAAGCACCCCTGTGGCCACCATTACTGGTGCCGCATTGGGTCAGACCTGAAGACGTCTAGTATAGCACCGAGTCTTGCACAAGGCCCTTCCCTTCAGGGTGTGAGTTCCCCAGGTCCCAGGCATGTCCAGAGATGCTGTCTGGGAGCCAGGGCTTGAAGTAAAAAAAACCTTAGCAGTTTACCTGATGGTCTTTTCTACTGCAGCTCAGCTGGCATTCACACCACAGTACAAAATCCTTCCCACTCTTCCCTCCCCTTTACACAGGCAGAGAATCCTCTCCCTGTGGCCACCACCACCACTGGTCTATGGGGATTCTGCCAGGTCACCACCGATGTTTACTTAAAGCCCAAGAGCTCTTCCCTTCAGCTTGTGGTGAATGCTGCCAGGCCTGGGACTCACCCTTCAGGGCAATGGACTCCCATTTGGTTGAGGGCAGGTCCAGAAATGCGGTCCAAGAGCCCAGGCCCAGACTCAGGGACCCAAAAAGCCTGCTTGTTGCTCTATCCTACTATGACTGAGCTGGGACCTAAGGTGCAAAACAAAGTTCCCTTTCCTCTTTCCTCTGTTTTTCTCAAACAGAAGGCGTCTTTCACCATAGCCACCACAGCTAGGAATGTTCTGGGTCACTGCTGAAGCCAGCACATCTCAGAATCCAGAGCCCCCAGTATACTCCCTGGGTATCGCTGCTGCTGGTTTTCAGGGCCCAAGGGCTCCTTAGTCAGCAGGTGATGAATCCTGCCAGGGTTGGGTCCTTCCCTTCAAGGCAGCAGATTCCCTTTTGGCCCAGAATGTGTCTAGAAATGTCGTCCCAAAGCTAGGGCCTGGAATGGGGACCGCAGGACCCTGCCTGCTATTCTATCCTGCTGTGGCTGAGCTGGTATCCGAGATGCAGGACAAAGTCCTCTTTATTCTTCACTCTCCTCCCTTTAAGCAGAAGGAAGGTGTCACCTTTGGAGTTGCTGCAAGCTGCACTGCCTGGGGTTGGGAGAGGGATGGTGCAAGCACTCCCTTAGCCATGCCAGCTGGTGTCTCCCTAGGTCACGTGCCACCCTAGTTTTCTGGCTCTGAGCTCAGCCCAACATGAGGAATTGCCTAGGAATTACAGTCCTTGTTCCTAGACTGCCTTTCAAATTTACCTAGGAGCCCAGGGTACTTCAGCCCACAATGGTGAGGCTTGTGGAGAAACTCAAGTTCCAATCACTGGGATGGGCACTTTCCCTCTGGCTAAGGCTGGTCCAAATGTTGGCTTCCTGAGCGGGTGCTGGCTGAGCCCAGCATGGCTTTATTCTCTGTTGTGACAGGGCAGAACCGAATTCAGCATAAGTCCCCTACTCACTGGGCTCACCCTCCCCAAATGTACAAACTCTCTCTCTGTACCACACGGCTATGACTGGGGAATAGGAGAGAGGTGGCATCAGTGATTCAAGACTGTCCCTCCTGCTCTCCTCATGCCTCTTTTAGTGATATGAAGTTAAAACGAGGTACTGTGATTGCTCACCTGATTTTTGGTTTTGGTGATGGTGCTTTTCTGTGTGCAGATAGATGTTCAAATTTGTTGTTCCAGTGCGGGGAATAAAGGGTGTAAGCTTCTATTCTGCCATCTTGCTCTGCCTCCAGCATCTTTTCATATGTTTCTTTGCCATATACTATTTTCACATGTTTTTTTGCCATCTGTCTGTCTTCTTTGGTGAGGTGTCTGTTGTTCAGATCATTTGATCATTTTTAAAATGGGTTGTTTGTTTTCTTATTGTTGAGTGTTAAGAATCCTTCGTATATTTTGAATGTAAGTCCCTTATCAGGTATATATTTTGCAAATAATTTCTCTCAGCCTATGGCTTATCTTTTCATTCTCTTAACAGTGTCTTTTGCAGAGCACACATTTTAAATTTTAATAAAGTCCAGCTAATCATCAATGTTTTTCTTTTTTTATCTGAGGATGAGAGCATGAGAGGAAAAAGAGAAGAAGCCACCCTTTCCTCTCATGTTCTACCAAAGGCGAAGCAGGTTTTGTGTCCTGCCTCTCGTGGGAGGGACTTGTCTTTGGAATTCAGTTTACTTCTTTGCCTTGAAATCTGATGGGCTCAATAAAAGTTATGTTTTTGTAGATTATCTGGCCTTTTTTTGCCCTTGGGGTGAGAGCACCATTATTTCTAGAGCATCATTATTTCTATTTTAGGATGCTTTCTACATCCCAAATGGAAGCAGAACTAAAATCATTTCATTTGTTATTTTTAAAAAGTGGCCACAAATGGCATTGTGAATGTTACATAAGACAGAAATAAACCTTAAAACAGAATTTCGAAACAATGGCTGTTACTTTTTTTCTTTGTCTACTTTGAGCATCATAATCCTAGCTCTAGTAATTAAATAGGTTCCATCCAAACCAGGAGTCTATTTATAATAGGTTTAACTCTGATGGTATATTAAGATGATGATATTTAGAATATTGATTTTATAGTGAGCAATTAATGGGCATACAGTGATAATAGGTTTAACTCTGATCATGTAGTAAGATGATATTTAGAATATTGATTTTGTAGTGAGCAAATCACATTAATGGGCATACAGTGAGTTCCAGTCACACTGTTTGTTTCCACCCTTACTTACTTATTAATGACCACCATTAATGACTGGTGGTCATTAATGTGATAAAGAAAATGTCCTTTTTAGATGATTGTCAGATTATCTTCTATGACCTCATACTTCTCTAGCCTTATGGGGGCTGGCGTGTTTGCGGGTGACTGGCTTCTTCTATGAGCCCTTTTACTGAATCTTAGTCTTTACACACTAAGCAAGTGTGTGCCAGAAGTCATTGAAGACCATGCATATATATATATATATATATATATATATTTTTTTTTTTTTTTTTTTTTTTTTTGAGATGGATTTTCGCGCCTGTTGCTCAGGTTGGATTGCAGTGGCCTGATCTTGGCTCACTGCAACCTCTGCCTCCCCAGTTCAAGCAATTCTCCTGCCTCAGCCTCCCGAGCAGCTGGGATTACAGGCATCCGCCACCACGCCCGGCTAATTTTTGTATTTTTGTTAGAGACAGGGTTTCACCGTGTTGGCCAGGCTGGTCTCGAACTCCTGACCTCAGGTGATCCGCTGCCTTGGCCTCCCAAAGTGCTGGGATTACAGGCGTGAGCCACTGCACCCGGCCACCATGCTCATATTTTTATTTCTTATAGAGGAATTTCCTATATATCCTATAGAGGAACAGCTTCTCTTCAATATATTTTTCAAATTTTGAGGATAATTGTGATGCCACTTTTCAGTCTCCAGCCTGAACACTTGGGGTCCACATCCCATAGCCTTATGTAGAAGGTGCTGATGGGGCCAGGAGTCTGAGATTGGGAAGAAGCTCAAGTGCTTAACGACTAAGACAGTTCTGGAATGCTGGAATGTCTTCAGAAGACTGTAGCAAGATGTGTGTGCCTTCTGTGTTCCGGTCACAAATATTCAATTGTCTATTTTCCACACATAAGTCAAATTCAACCTATCCAAAAGTGAGCGAGTCGTGCTTGTCATCTTTTGCATCTAACTTGCTTTTTTTGTGTTCCTGGTTATGGGAAATATCAGGGTTCTTCTTTATTGCTCATTATCCCTTTACTTAATCCAGCACTGGGCTCTGTCATATCCATTCCTAAATCTCCTTCTAATTTGCCCCTTCTGGCCAGGCGTGGTGGCTCACACCTGTAATCCCAGCATTTTGGGAGGCTGAAGCAGGTAGATCACCGGAGGTCAGGAGTTTGAGACCAACCTGGCCAACATGGTGAAATCCCGTCTCTACTAAAAATACAAAAAATCAGCCAGGCATGGTGGCACAAACCAGTGATCCCAGCTACTGTGGAGGCTGAGGCAGGAGAATCGCTTGAACCCTGGAGGCAGAGGTTGCAGTGAGCCGAGATCGGGCCATTGCACTCCAGCCTGGGCAACAAGAGCAAAACTCCATCTCAAAAATAATAAAAATAATAATAATTTGCCCCTTCCTAAACATTCCCATAAACCAAATTCCCATTCTCATGTCCAATCTATAATAACATTTATTATTTATTGAGCTCTGATGTACCAGACACTGTTATACATTTCTTTCCGCCCCCCCCCCCCCAGCTTTTTGTTTCATTTATCTTTTGTATTTTTTGTTTGTTTGTTTGTTTCAATTTCATTTAGTTCTGCTCTGATCTCTTTATTTCTCTTCTGCCGGGTTTGGGTTTGGATGGTTCTTGTTTCTCAGGTTCTGTAAGGTGTGGACTTAGATTGTCTGTTTGTGCTCTTTCAGTCTTTGTGATGTAGGCTTTCCTTTTAGCACTTCTGCTGTACCCCAGAGGTTATGATAGGTTGTGTCACTATTATCCTTCAGTTCAAAGACTTTTTAAATTTCTATCTTGATTTCATTGTTGACCCAATGATTACTCAGGAGCAGGCTATTTAGTTTCCATGTATTTGCATGGTTTTGAGGGTTCCTTTTGGAGTTGATTTCCAATTTTATTCCACTGTGGTCTGAGAGAGTACTTGATATAATTTTGATTTTCTTAAATTTACTGACACTTGTTTTGTGGCCTATTATATGGTCTATCTTGGAGAACATTTTATGTGCTGATGAATAGAATGAGTTATACACTTCTTAACATGTGCTAATTTTGTTTCATCTTCACAGAAATTTTATTTGGTAGGTACTATTACACAGATGACTTAAGGACCTTTTCAATTTTATAGCAGTATTTTTCAGCTTTGGCTTTATATCAGAATATCATGGAAAGTTAAAAAAAAAATTCTGGCCGGGCATGGTGGCTCACATCTATAATCCCAGCACTCTGGGAGGCTGAGGCGGGTGGATGACCTGAGGTCAGGAGTTTGAGACCAGCCTGGCAAACATGGTGAAACCCAGTCTCTACTAAAAATACAAAAAATAGCCGGGCCTGGTGGTGCATGCCTGTAATTCCAGCTACTCAGGAGTCTGGGGCAGGAGAATTGCTTGAACCTGGGAGGCAGAAGTTGCAGTGAGCCGAGATCACACCACTGCACTCCAGCCTGGGTAACAGAGTGAGACTCTGTCTCAAAAAAAAAAAAAATTAATATCCCAAGCCATACCCTAGACAAATGAAGTCAGAATCTCTGAGGGTGGGACCTACACATCAGTCTTTTTTCAAGATCCTCAGATGATTCGAACACATACCAGGTTGAAAACCACTTATTTATAGCCATAAGGCAGTAGATTCAGAAACTGAACTAAGGTCTCTGACTCCACAGCCTACATTCTAAAACACAGTGCCACACTTTCCCTTATGTTACATGGTGCTACCAGGGTGAAATGTGGCATGTCATGTTACTGCCCAACTTAATCTCTTTAGTGATTCCTGTGTCCCTCAGTTAAAATGTGATCTCTTTGGAATGACATACAAGATTGGGCTGATTTTTCCCTCCCTTCTACTCTGTACTCCAACAATACCAGGTCTTCCACAACTACCTGAATCAACCGTATTCTTCACATATGCTGGGCTTTCTCTCTGAACCTCCTTTTTTTTTTTTTTTTTCCAAAACATTGTTCCCAAGACTCTATTAAAATGCCGCTTTAAAACTTCCTCTCTGAAGTCATTCCAGGTGGTCACCTCCTGTTTACACTAGGCCGTACAGATTAGTCTCTCTTTTGTCCCACGATGTACTTTTTCATCGATCACACAGTTTGCACCTGTTTACTTGTCTGTGTAATGAATGAATGGATGACCAGTCACTGATTAAGTCTGTGAATCTAGCTTGTAGCCATTTTGCAAAGAACCTTCAATACTAGCTAAAGAGTTGGGAGTTTATCATGTAGGGAATGGGGAGTCAGTGAGGATAGCTGAGGAGGGGGTGAGATGCTGGAGATGGTGCTTTTAGAAACTTTAATCTGATGTGTGAGGTATATGACAGTTTGGATATAGGATAGGACTGGAGGTTGGAGATCACTGAAGAGTTTTTTTAAAAAATAGGAATCCACATTTTTGGTAATAAGAGTCTCAGTCACGATGGTGGCAAGAGGAGTGAAACAGAGATCGATATGATGACACAAGGGAATTCTAGATTTTGGTGACTACATTTGGAGGGCCAGGGAGAACTAAGAGTCAGAGAGGAGCTCGAAGTTTTGAGAATTGTTATCCTCTGTATTAGTTTCCTGGGCTTGCCATAACAAAGCACTGCAAACTGAGCAGCTTGAAATGACAGGAATCTATTCTCCACAGTCCTGGAGGCTGGAAGACTAACGTCCAGGTACTGGCAGGGCCACTCTCTCTGAAGGCTCCTTGTCTCTTTCCTAGCTACTGATGGTTGAAGCAATCCAGCAATCCTTGGTGTTCCTCGGTTTATAGCCTTATCTCTGCAGTCTCTGTCTCCATCTTCACATGGTCTTCTCTCTGTGTCTGTGTCCAAATTCCCCTCTTCTGATAAGGACACCTATCAGTGGGTTAGGGTCCAACACCCTAATCTACTGTTACCTCATTTTAACCTGATAACATCTGCAAAGACCCTATTTCCAAATAAGGTCAAATTCACAGATGCCAGGGATTAGGATTTGAAGATATTTTTTTGGGTGCACGTAATTCATCCTATAACATTACATTAATTCATTCCATCAAAGAATCATGTATTGAGTTGTAATTGCCTTTAAAGCATTCACAATCGAATAGAGAAGACAGATATTTAAGCAGATCATTCTATTACAATGTGATATGCACATATTATTAAGGACACACAAAGAAGGGTCATTTAACCTAGCCTAATAGAAAGCAGACAAAGGTAGAACTTGGATAAAAATAGAAAAGGAGGAAGAACAGTTTCTTGGGATTTAAATCACTCAATGCTTTGTTTTATAATTTTATTAATTTAATAAATGACCTCTAGTTTGGGTACATCCAAGAGGAAACATCCCATCTGAAGTTACCAATAGGAGTTCGGTACAGTTCTGTAGCAGATATAGGTATGGGAGACAGCTACAAAGAGGAAGGAATCCATATGCATCCCGTCCCTCTTTCCATTTTATACCAAATTTCTGGGATCATTTTCCTTTTTTCTGAAGTTTGGCCTTTACAATTCAATGTTTGTTTACCTTTGAAGATAATTTGCCAAGCACACGATTCTAGATTGACAATTATTTCTCTTAATGTTTTAAAGACATAATTCTCTTGTTATTTGGCTTCTATTGTTGTTTTTGAGAAGTCTGCTGTCACTCTGATTTTCCGTCCTTTCTCTGTGGCTGCTGCTACGATCTTCTCTTTGTCTTTAGGTGTCCTGCATTCTCACTGCTGGTGTCTGGGTATGGGTTTCTTTTCTTTTCATTTTTTTTTTTTTTTTTGAGACAGGGTCTCATTTTGTCACCCAGAGTGGAGTGCAGTGGCGTGACCTTGGCTAACTGCAGCCTTGATCTCCTGGGCTCAAGTGATTCCCCACTCCTTGGCTCCCCAAGTAGATGGGACTACAGGCATGCACCACTACACCCAGCTAATTTTTGTATTTTTAGTAGAGATGAGGTTTCACCGTGTTGACCAGGCTGGTCTCGAACTCCTGGACTCAAGCAGTTTACCCACCTCAGACTCCCAGAGTGCTGGGATTACAAGCGTGAGCCACTGCACCCAGCTGGATTTCTTTTTATTTAACCTACTGGTATATGTTGTGCTTCCTGGATCTCTGTATTCATGTTTATCATCAGTTCAGAAAAATATACAGCAATTTTTAAAATTATCATTTTAAATATTGCTTTTTCTTCATTCTTTGCATTCTGCTTCTGGGCTCAGATTAGATATATATATTAGGCCTTCTTATTATCTTAATATCTTTTAATATGTCCTTTATATTTTCCATTTTCCTCTTTGTATATATTTTCCAGTTTGCTAATTCTTTCTTCGCTGTGTTTGATATTAAGATTTTAATTTCTTAAATTTCCTTTTTTCCCCCCAATATGCTTGTTCATTCCCAATAGGCTCTTATTGCTTTCTTATCTTGGTGATTGGTTCCTTTTCTTCTTCAAGCATTTCATACATTGCTGTACTACATTCTATGTTTTCTCTGTGCCAGCAAAATTTATGTTCTACGCAGGGCCAATATCACCCTTCCAATCAACCCTTGCATGGGTGCAAGATTGGAGGACTCTAAGATACCTGTCTGCCACCCCATGGCAAAGGACTGGGAAGTGGAATGTTTGGATTCTCTCTAGGGAAAAGCATTTTATATAATGCTTATAAATGACACAATTTCTGTGGCTTCTTGTTACTTTGGAGTTTAAGCTCTTAGTGGATAGGGAGTACTTTAAACTTTGCTTAGCTGATCCTTGGTTCTCAGTAAACAGTAAATCAATCTCCATCATGGTTTCAGAAACTCTAAAACAACTGATTTCATCCAAGAATGTATACCAGTTGGAATAATGATGTTTTTGTCTCTATATTTAGCAGTCAGTGTATAATAATATTTCCTATATAAATGTAAGCTAGTATTGCTTTCAAAACATTCTCATACCGCCAGGCGTGGAGGCTCATGCCTATCATCTCAGCACTTTAGGAGGCCGAGGCAGGAAGATCACTTGAGGCCAGGAGTTTGAGACCAGCCTGGGCAACATGTTGAGACCCCATCTCTACAAAAAATAAAAATAAATCCCTTGGCATGGTGGTGCATGCCTGTAGTCCTAGCTGCTTCGGAGGGTGGCTGAAGTGGGAGAGATCCCTTGAACCCAGGAGGTTGAGGCTGCAGTGAGCTGTGATTGCACCACTGCACCACAGCCTGAGCAACAGAGATCTTGTCTCAAAAAACAACAATAAAAAAGAACAAAAAAACCTTCTCACACTTGTTATCTTGTTAAAGGTTAAAGGTGAAAGTGAATTTTAATGACTGTAGTTTTGATTTGAAACCTTTGGCAAGAGCTCCTTATCTTTTGGAATCCCAGGAAGAAGAAAAAACAGTTATTTACAAGTAAGTCTGTTCTTCCATAGCTTTGCTCTTCTTTTGCTAAGATGCTAGGCTGTGCTGCCATCCCCTGCCATCCTTTCATGTTGCTGAGACGGTGCTGAGGCACACACAAAGCTCCATTGTGGCAGGACACCGGGCATCTCCTACCACTGTGTCTGGTGAGGTGGCAACACTTCCCAGGCTTTTCTGGTCTTAAAGAACAAGTAGGCTGGGTGCGGTGGCTCCCGCCTGTAATCCCAGCACTTTGGGAGGCCGAGGCGGGCAGATCACCTGAGGTCAGGAGTTTGAGACCAGCCTGGTCAACATGGTGAAACCCTGTCTCTACTAAAAATATAAAAATTAGCCAGGCGTGGTGGTGGGCAACTATAATCCCAGCTATCTGGAAGGCTGAGGCAGGAGAATTGTTTGAACCCGGGAGGCAGAAGTTGTAGTGAGCCAAGATTGTGCCACTGCACTCCAGCTTGGGCGACAGAGCAAGACTCTGTCTCAAAAACAAACAAACAAAAAAACCAAACAGCAACAACAAAACAAGTAGCTAATACAGAAATAACAAACACAGAAATGGAAAAAAAATTGTTAACAACTTGTACTAAAGCTAAAAGGTTAGGAGATTTAAAATTGAATTGGAGTAGTATAAATGGAGTTTGGGACTGGTTTGGGTGGGTAGTAGCTGTTACAATGTTGTACCTAGAGTGAAAGATGTTGTTGTAAACAGAGAATGGTACATACTATCAAATACTATGTATATAATGTGGGGAATCATCTCAGCTAACTAGTTTTAGAATTAAGAGATTTCTCTACATAATTATGTATCTTGTGACTATCTGGTTAAAAGTCGTGCTGCCCCTCAGATATTGCTGGAGGGAATGTAAAATGGTGCAGCAACTTTGGAAGGCAGCTTGGCAGTTTCTCAAGATGTTAAACATTAAATTATTATGTGACCCAGAAATTCCGCTCCTAGGTTTCTACTCAGGAGTAATGAAAACATATCCACATAAAGGCTAGGATATGGATGTTCATAGCAGCATTATTCACAACAGCCAAAAAAGTGGAAACAACCCAAATGTCTATCAGCTGATGAATGGATAAACAAGATGTGGTATATCCATACAATGGAATATTACTTGGCAATTAAAAGGAAAAAAATACTGATACATGCTGCAACATAGACAAACTTCAAAACCATTGTACTCAGTGAAGGAAGCCAATAACAAAAAGCTACATATAGTATGTTTTTTTATACAAAATGTTCAGAAAAGGCAAATCTGTAAAGACAGAAGGTAGATAGTAGTTGCTTAGGGCTGGGGATGGGAGTGGAGAGTGACTTAATGAGCATGGAGCCTTGGGGTTAATGAAAATGTTCTAAAATAAGATTGTCGTGGTGGTTGCACAACTCTGTAAATATACTAAAAACCATTGACTTGTACACTTAAAATGGGTGAATTTTATGTCATATAAATTACACCTTATTAAAATTGTTCATAATAATAATAAAAAAGGAACCTAGCAAGGTGCAAGAAAAGTGAGCTTTTATGACTTTCTAGGAGATCGGCTTACAATTCTCTGTTCCTAAAAAGTGCCCGAAGTAAGCTGCAGTAGTTTCCTTTTCCTGAACAGGTTCAGAATTTGTTGAATAAATACAGTGTGGCAGAAGCTGGAGGGCTTTTAGAGATGCTGGTATGACCAGCAGAGAGAACAACTAATTGTCTCCTGAGGACCTTAGTGATGTACCGTAGAAACAGATGACAGCTGGGGAGGGCGTTGGCCAACATGGGCTCATTGTCCTTGAGGTGTGGTTTAACCATTTGCTGGGTTGTTTCTTGAATAGGAGCCACAAGTGAGGGGAAAAAGGAAGTGTCCAAACTAAGCCCTATTCCCTTGGTAGCTGAAGGCCTTAAAAGACAAAATGATTGATTGAAAAGAGAATTGAGACTCACTCTTGCATATTAGGGTCCAAAGGAGTAAGTTCTTCTGCAATCCCTAATTACCAGAGTCTCAAATAGACCTGTTTGGGTAAGATTTTACAATAATCAGCATCTTAATTCTATTTAATTTTGATAAATGATATAAAAGGAGAGATTTTGTTCTCAAATACATCTTCTAGCAAAGCGAGACCCACGTGTGAAGGAGGATATTGCATTTCTGGAGTAGTGGGTTCCTGTATTTTAGACTAGAGGCTTAAGTCTAGGCTCACTCTAGAAGAAAGAGGAAGACTGGATTCTCTTCCATGAATAAGGGAAGCATCCCAATTCTGGCAGCAGGGGTGGAGAAGGCATATTTGTCCTTGGCAGAGTTAGACCTTCTCAGGGAGGGCAAACTGGACAACTCTATGAGGGATCATTCACTCCAAAGGACCCAAAGCTGTTTGATTAAGCAGCACAGAGATTACAGCTGAAACTATGACTAGAGCAAGGCAATACTATTTATTTGGGTTTATTTTCACACAAAAAAAGTAAATACGTTTATTTTCATAAAAATACACAAATTCACATAGAACTCATCAACTTCAAATTTAAATAAAAATATTAAGTGCTACAGTTGAGTTGAGAGTTAAGAGAATCCCTTCCTTTCTGGTTCCTTCCTGCAGAAACAAAGGGTCATCCTTTCTAGAAAGAGAACCGCTGTGCTATCAGGAGGGAAATAATCCAAGTGCCAAAGAGGCCATCTCTGAAGGGTATTTTTCTTCCTTGAGCCTCAGCCAGGAACGGGAGGAAGACCAGGATGGGTAAGAGCTGGGGCTGTCCCATTTCATCATACATAAGGTGGCAATCGCTGATACCAAAATCTGAGCACCTGGGAACTTTCTTTGTATGGCAGGCTTCCAGGAAGAGAGGAGGCAGTGGGGAATAGGTTAGAAGCAGCTGAGGGGCAGGTGCCCTTTATTCAGAGGGAATGGAGAGGGCTGCCCTGGCCCCCTGGTGGAGTCACACGATGAGGGTGCCCCCTGGTGGAGCCACACGATGAGGGTGCCCCCTGGTGGAGCCACACGATGAGGGTGCCCCCTGGTGGGTGGGCCACGCTGTCCAGGATTTCCCCAGCCCCTCTCTCAGTCCGCCATCTCCACCCTGTCTCTACCATTTACCACTTAGCATAGCCAAGCCAGGCCCCACATTTTGTTAACCTTAAGGCAGTCAAGATAGGTAGAAAATTTTCAAAAGGACCAATACTAAATTCAAGTAGTAAAATTTAGGAAGTGAAAGCCCCCATATTGAGAGATTGCCAGCAGCAGAGAGGAGCACCCACGCTTCCTCACTCGGCACCTTGTGACTCCTGGATTGCATTAGGGCTGAGTGAGGGCTTGTTCTCTGTGGACCCTGGAGTAGGCCCTGTGACTGGTGGAAAGGATCCCGGGAAAAAACTCAGGAATAAGAAAGGAGAAGGTGAGACTTCAGACTGAAATTATTAGAAATGCTTGGAAGTAAAGGAGGAAAATGAAACTGAGGAACCAGAAAAATGCCCAGACCAGTTAATTAAAACCTGGAGTAACCAGGAGATCCAGAGTTTCCTAAAAGAATGGGAATTTCTTGCATTTGAAGAGTTGAGAAGAAGAATCATGAATTATTTAGAGGAATTGCCCAGTGTCTCAAGCAGCGGGGCATAAAGAAGAGCTGGCACCGATGTCTCCAGCTGACAAGTTTGCAGGGCTTGTACTGGACTCCTCATGAGGCCAACTCAAGGCCAAGGAGCAACCCTGGCCCTATCCTTACAGAGAGGCCCTACACAGTATTCTGGGATACATATAAAAGGACAATGCCTTTTCAGGTCCTCTCTGTGCAGATGTGATCATCCCTCCAACTCCTAGTACCAGCCCCTGTCTGCTCTGAGGCTCTGCTGTCAGTCCCCTACGTGATCTCCAAGGATCCTCAGGTCCCAGATGGGAGCCCTCCACGGTCAGCTGCATGCCTGTTGTCTGCTGTTGTCTCTGCAGCCCCCAGCCCCTAGCAGCAGCTGTCAACCTCTTCTGACCCTGATCTGGATTCTGAACTTAAAGACATTTAGAACCTGGATTCTTGATTCTGTCTGAATGACCATGGAAGAGCACAATTTTATATCCTGGTGCTTGACTCCTTCCTCTCCCAGCATGTGCAATAAATGAAGAAAAAAGCCCCAACATTTAAAATGGAAAGTTTATAGAAATATTAGGTGTTGGGCCATGTGCGGTGGCTCATGCCTATAATCCCAGCACTTTGGGAGGCCGAGGTGGGCAGATCACCTGAGGCTGGGAGTTTGAGACCAGCCTGATCAACATGGAGAAACCCCGTCTCTACTGAAAAATACAAAGTTAGCCGGGCATGGTGATGGAGTCCTGTAATTCCAGCTACTCAGGAGGCTGAGGCAGGAGAATCGCTTGAATCTGGAAGGCGGAGGTTGCGGTGAGCTGAGATCACGCCACTGCACTCCAGCTTGGGCAACAAGAGCAGAACTCTGTCTAAAAAAAAAAAAAATATATATATATATATATGTATGTATTCACATATATATAGATAGATAGATAGATATAGGTGTTTACAGAACATAGATTTCTCATCCTAAGGTAATGATGGTTAAACTTGGTGGCCATTTGACTGAGATAGCCCAGCCTACCATTTCTGGGTCTAGGTGGAGCTTCTCCCTCCAGTTCTCTTGTCCAGAGTCAGCCTCTTAGGAGTGTATTCGAGAAGTCATGGCCTTCCTCCCCACTCCCAGTTAGAAATCAGCACGTGAATGGCCTGTCTTCTGAGTATCCTTCAATCTTGCCATCTTCCTTTCTGACTGTCTCTCCATTTCCCCACTCCTACCCTTAAAGGACAGGGGTGCTACTTTTTTTACTCATTCATGAAAATTTACTAACCTTTTCTTTTGTGTGTTTAGCTCCTTTTACTGCCATGTTTTGGTATCCTCCCATGTGCTTGCTTGCTTGCTTCCTCAAAATTTTAACAAGCGCCAACTCTGAGCCAGGCAGTGTTTGAGGGGCTGGAGACACAGTGGGAAACAAAACAGAGACGGCTCCGATTTCCTGGAGCTTACATTTTGATGGGGAAATAGACAGTAGTCAACCAAATAAACACATAACATCACGTGAGTTAGTAATAAGGAAAACAAAGCAGGTAGAGGGGGTGGGGTGGGAGAGTGGGGGACGAATGAAGAGGACTGTTTTAGGTGGAGAAGTCAGAGGAGGCTTCTCCTCTGAGATGACGTTTGTGCAGCAGGCTGAGGAACCCAGGGAGTGAGGCGTGGAGAGATCTGGGGAAAGAGTGTTGCGCAGATGGATGGGCCCAGGCAAAAGCCTGAGATGGGAGTGAGGCTGGTGTGTTCAGGAAACAGCAAGAAAAAGTGGGGAGGCTGAAGATAGTGAGTGCTGAGAGAGGGCGGGAGGTGAGGCTGGAGCAGAGGCAGGAGCCAGGCAGGTTGGGGTTACAGGCCGGGAAAGGGAGTTAGAATAAAATTCAAAGTGTGAGGGGAAGCTGTGCGGAGGTCTGGAGTAGGGGGGAAATCATATCTAATCAGCATTGTACAAAGAACATGGCTGCCGCATAAGCAACTGCTGATGCTGGAGCCGAGGCAGGGCCGTCAAGGCAGTTGAGGGTTCCAGGCCAGGTGAGAGCGAGGGCTCCAGGCTCCAGCGTGGGTGGAGAGGAGCTGGCAGAGCTCCCTTGTTAGCGTGGAAGTGGGTGAAAGCGAGAAATCAGTGCGGAGGGGCCTGGGTGGATTGTGGTTCTAGTCACTGACCTAGGGAGGTCTAGGGGGAAAGCAGGTTTGCAGGGAGAGAAGTGCAGAAGTGAGGAATAACCGTGTTTGGGGCTGATTCCATTGCAATCATTATAATACCGGAGGAGGATTTGTAGGGTGTGATTTTAGAGCAAATGAACTCTTCCCCTCACTGTCCATTTAAACCTGTTCTGTTGGGGTTGGTTCTTCTCCTGCCCTGGGCATTCTCAGATAATAAACAGCCTCTGGTTATGAAGACAGTCTGTTCAGTAACTAATATGGCCAGTCTCGTATAACATAATGACCAAAGCTTCAATCTTCATTTAAGGTCTCCCTCCCCGCGTTTGGGGCTGCTGAAGCTGGAGCTATAAGAAAGAAGAGGGAGGTAGATGTCTTCTCTCTTTCCCTTCTTACTCTCCTATTCCTTACCCCTGTTTCTTGCCACTGTGATTTCTGATATCTTCAGAGTCCACAGTGGGAGGGAGGAAAGAGAAATAATGGGTGGGTAGGAAAGTTCTTACCTATTAATTTTATGATGATCTATTTCAGTGTAAGGCATTCTCTGGGCTTGGCAGGGGTTTGAAGCTAGTGGTTTTTCTCATGGGGCACTTCCAAGTGATCTTCAGAGAAAATTCCTATTGCTTGGAATTTCTCACCGGATTTCTTTTCCAGGTGTTTGCTTAGGACTGTCTCTGGCTCTAAGCATCTGATGGAACTGCCACTACTTCATTCTTCACTTAGGAACATAGCCTCTATCACCTAAAGAGATACTGAGACTAAAATTAGATCCATTTCAGTATCTTTGTAGATGCTCATCCTATACCCAAGAGGAGATATACAGTAGGCAGGTGGATGTACCGGTCTGGAGTTCAGGGGAGACTGGGGGTGGAGACAGGTTTTTGAGAGTCATCCTCATATAGATGCTATGTGAAATCATGCAATCACCTGGGGGTGAGTGTCAAAGAGAAGAAGGCCGAGGGTTAGTCCTGCGGAACGCCAAGATTTAGAGGTTGGGGCAAGGAGGCAGAGCTGGTGAAGGAACATTCATGGAGCGAGAGGTTGGTATGGAAGGAAGCAAAGCAGAAGTATGTGCTGCTGCAGAGGCCCAGTAGAGAAAGGGTTTCAGAAAAGAGGGCATGCCCAGCCATGTGGCAATGCTGCTGAGAGGGAGGTAAAATGAGGACTGGGGAGATATAGGCCTAACTGCTGATTTTCATCAGAGAGGTTAAGTGGAGCAGCTGAAATGAAAGCTGATTAGAGTGGGTTCAGGAGAGAATTGGGGTGAGGAAGTGGAGACAGAATAAGCAATGCTTTTGTGGGGTTTTGCTATAAAGTGGCTGGAGAAGGTAAGGTAAGGGAATATTTTTATCAGCGATATTGATATTATAACATGTATGTTTCCTGATGGGAATGCTCCCATAGAGAGGGAGATTTGATGATGCTGGAGAGAGAGGGGGTATAATAGAAGGGCAGAGTCCTTCCACAGGTGAGGAGGCAGCACCCTGGACTCAGGTGGACAGGACACTCTATCCATTGTATGAAGAGGGAAGGCTGAGTACATGGATATAGGTCAAACTAGCTCAGTGGATTTTGCAAAGGAAGATTGTTTCCTTCTGTTTACTCATTTTCTCAAGTGAGATCATCAGCTGATCGCGAGGCACAGAATAGAGAATTTAGAGGTTTGAAGAGAAAAGGGAAGAAAGGAACCTAGTATTTTCTAAATCACAACAATCCAAGTGGAAATTAGTACTCCAAACATGTTGACATCTGAAAGCTGAGACCACAGGGGTTCCCTCAAATCATGTCACACATCAGTGATCCACCCCATCTATTTGACCATGTCCCTGAATCTCTCAGTGCTTCTGACTCCAGACAGCGCGAGGAAAGGCTGAGGCAGGAGGCCTAGGTGGAGACCCTGCCTGAGAGATGAGTCACTCGGCTCTGGCAGGACAGGCTTCAGGGGGATCAGCTCAGCTTAGCTGGGGAACGCTTTCTGCTCTCGTAAGCCCCTCATCCCCATACCACACTCAACTCTTCCCTTTTGTCACCTTCAAAAGGTTTCAGCAACCAAGGAGCACACACCCTGATCCTTGATTGGTGAAAGGATACACAAAATCAGGCTGCTTCAGAGGAAGTCATCTGCTCACAGGAATCAGGGTGAAGGCCAAGGACGGCACTCAAGAATTGTCCTGTCTCTAAAAAAAAAGCATCTGCAACGAACTTCCTTTAATTTTTGAGTTCAGTGTCTGTGATAATTAAGAAATGGCAATACCATGTATTTTCCCCAGAAGTTAAGAAATATTGCTGAACGAACCAATAAAAATAATTACAGCTCCCTCACTAAGTGTCCATCTCTGTATATTTGGCTTGTTCCTCAATTAAGGTATGCTCCCTTTGGTCATGCACACTTCATGGCCACATCCACATATCCTCCCCAGGTTTTCCCAACATTCTTTAGAAAATTTAAAAATTCATTTGGGGTTGGCCAGGTGAGGTGGGTCATGCCTGTAATCCCAGCACTTTGGGGAGGCTGAGGCATGTTGCCCAGGCTGATCTCGAACTCCTGGGCTCAAGCGATCCACCCGCCTCGGCCTCCATCTGAACACCTGTCTTGAGGTCAGGAGTTCGAGACCAACCTGGCCAACGTGGCAAAACCCTGTCTCCACTAAAAATACAAAAATTAGCCAGGTGTGATGGCACATACCTGTAATCCCAGCTACTTGGGAGGCTGAGGCATGAGAATTGCTTGAACCCTGGAGGTGGAGGCTGTAGTGAGCCGAGATTGCACCACTGCACTCTAGCCTGGGTGACAGGGCAAGACTCCATCTTAAAAAAAAAAAAATTCATTTAGGGTATAATTACTCACTTGCTGATTCTAAACATTGCCCTCTGGCTCATGTTGAGTTTGAATCTTGGTCACAGGAAGACACAGTAGGACACAGAGCATAGAAGAGTGGAATTCTGTTTTCCTTAGGCAAAGGGACACCATGGTAACCTTTTCAAAAGACTTGGGGGAGTCTGACTTCTTCAGTTCTGTCTGTTCCCCAAATATATATAATTCCAAGATCCCCCTCTTTCCTAGTCAATGCCCTAGATTTCATATAAAAGACTGGCAGCAATGTTAATCCATCTGGAATTGCAATTCAGCAACCTACAGGATCAATTTATGAACTTGAGGGCCACAGATGGAATAAGATTTATTAAAAATAGTGGCCCTATATTTTAATGCCTTGCACATTCTGGCATCTGAGCTTTATATTATCTTGCTTTAAATTATCCATTTTTCTCTCATTCCATATTCCTCATCCTCTTTAAATTATTCTACCCTGACAGTTATCTAGTCTCCCAACATCTCACCCCTAATCAATATATGGTTCTAAGTGAAACTAGATTTTCTTTCTTTCTTTCTTTTTTTTTTTTTTTGAAACAGGGTCTCGTTCTGTTGCCCAGGCTGGAGTGCAGTGGCATGATCATGGCTCACTGCAGGCTGGACCTCCCAGGTTCAAGCAATTCTCCGCCTTTCAGCCTCCCGAGTAGCTACGACTACAGGTGTACGCCATCATGCCTGGCTAATTTTTTGTATTTTTTGTAGAGATGAGGTCTCACCATGTTGCCCAGGCTGATCTTGAACTCCTGGGCTCAAGCGATCCACCCGCCTCAGCCTCCCAAAGTGCTGGGATTACAAGCATGAGCCACTGCACCTGGCTGAAAACTAGATTTTTAAAACTTTATACTATGCACAATTTCAGAGAATTACAGAAAAAATAATTATAATTGTATAATGAATCCTTATGTTTCTGACATCCAGCTTCAATACTGATTACCTCATGTCCAGTCTTGTTTTGTGTATATGCATACCTACTTCTCAACCCTAACTGGATGACTTTGAAGCAAATCCCAGATGTCGTATCACAAATATAGTTGCTCATTCCACATGGTGAAGAGAAGATGCCTTTCCTTTCCCTGCACTTTGACACGAATACCAATTCCAAATATCTCACATTTCCTCTGAAGCCTTGTACTATTTCTGTATTATTTGAGATCATTTGTATTGCAAGTAACAAGCTAACCAGAGCTAACATAAGCACAAATGGTCCCTGGTGGTCTAGTGGTTGGGATTAAAAAAAAAAATTTCATTGAAAGAGTGCCAAAGCATCTTACAGAACCCTGAGAAAAAACTGAATTCCACAGGAATGGCAGGAACCTTGACAGCACTGGCCCCTGAGCAGCAGGCATCTCAGACCCTTCTAGGCTGTTGTCATGAACGTGACTCACAACACCTTTCCAAGTCTCTGTTTTGGTTAGACGTCTATAATCCTAGAAGAAAGACAGGAGAATCTGATCCTAGACTTGGGTCAGGTGTACACTCCTTGACCAATTAGCCACAGAGAAGAACAGGGAGGTGCTGCCATCGAGTCCACCTCTGGCCAGGTGAAGTGGCTCACGCCTGTAATCCCAGCACTTTGGGAGGCCGAGGAGGGTGGATCACCTGAGGTTAGGAGTTTGAGACCAGCCTGACCAAAATGGCAAAAGCCCATCTCTACTAAAAATACAAAAATTAGCTGGGCATGGTAGGGGGGCACCTGCAAGCCTAGCTACTCAGAAAAGCTGAGGCGGGAGAATCGCTTGAACCCAGGACGGGGAGGCTGCAGTAAGCCAAGATTGCGCCACTGCACTCCAGCCTGGGCAATAGAGCAAGAGACGCCATCTCAAAAAAAAAAAAAAAAAGTCTACCTCTGTGAGTGGAGTCAGGGATTTGCCAGAGATGGGACCACGCAGGCATCTCTAATCCACCATGTGGAGCAAGGAGGCCAGGAATCACTGAAGAAAGCTGAGCCCAAAAAGACAGGCAGGAATCTTACAGGTCATGCTAAAGCGTTTGGAATTTATGGGGAGACCCTGAAGGATTTTATAATACTCTAGTTCTTGGCATTTTTTCCCTTTTATATTACTTCATCAGTCAAAACAGACTTCTAGAAATCACATCAGCATTAAAGGGATATTGTTACTTCACCTTGACTTTTTATAGAAGGAGAAAAGTCTCGGTAAATCAGTTCTGTTCCATGAATCAGTCATTACTGCCTTCTCCATAGCCTTTCCTTCGTTCAAGTAAATTTAGAAATTTCTTAAGTTTTCTTTATAACAGGTAGCCTAAATCTATATCATACTTTTAAAATAAAAATCTAGGTGCAAATTTGTTCTTATGGTTAAGGTTAACATGTACACTTCACAAACATTGAGACTTTTGTTTTGTTTTCTGGGACAAGGTCTTGTTCTGTCTCCCAGCTGGAGTGGATACAAGCATGGCTTGCTTCAGCCTCAACCTCCCGGACTCAAGTGATCCTCCCACCTCAGCTTCCTGAGTAGCTGGGACTACAGGTGCCTGCCACCATGCCCAGCTAATTTTTAAACGTTTTGTAGAGACGCGGTCCCATTGTGTTGCCCAGGCTGGTCTTGAACACCTGGCCTCAAGCGATCCTCCTACCTCGGCCTCCCAAAGTGCTGGGATTACATGCATGAGCCACCATGACTGGCCTAGACTTTTTGATTTAAAGAGACTTTTTGGATAGAAATGCTTTTCTCTATTACAGTTATAAATGACTAAAAATACTAGCTATGCCAAAATGGCAACCAGAGGCCGACTGCAAAGCTTCAAAAGGCTTGATGCTCTCCTGGTAGACAAGTCTTCAGTCTCTTAAATGTTTTTTTCATATGTTGACATTGAAATTTCATTTTGTGTAGATGTTGGGATTATGTCTCATTCATTTATTTATTCATCATTCACTTAGTAAGTATTTAAGTGCCTGTTTTTCCCAGGTGCTCTGCCAGGTTCTGGGGATATAAGGATGAGCCAACATAGGCTCTCTGCCCTAAAGTTAGTGGGAGAAACAGTAACAAAAGATTTTAATACTATGAGATTAACTGACTTAGTTGTGGTATGTAGAAAGAGACACAGAGCCTGCAGCAAGAGCCTAGGTGAAGACTCAGTGAAGCACTACCTATTGAAAGGAGAATCTTTCAAATCCTTAACAGTTATTTTCACCATGTAAAAAAGGCGACATTGCCAGGGAACATCAAGTAAAGAGACAAATGCTCAGGTAAGCTTTTAAATCATATGAGATTGAAATAAGTTGATTCAGTAAATCAGGGAAACTTTTATTTTCAAATGAAGTAAGGAAGAAGCTAGGTAGAAATTAAAAATCCTATTTTGTATCACCTTTTGCTTATACTTAATGTAGTTTAAGCCATCAGTATATTATACTTTTCTGTGTATGTCGTCTACTCAACAGGAATTTTCTGTTCGCCTGCTATTTGGGTCAGTCATAGATGGTCCCATGTTATGAGAAAGATGTAAAGATGAGATAGATTCAGCTCCTTTTCTCGAGAAGATTATACCATATAAGGAAGTAATTTGCTGAATGGTCTCTCAGTTAGCCTGACTAGAATCTCTAAATCATGGTCTACACAGCAGTAATGAGGAACTTTGGCCCCTCAAGTGTCAATGAAGGCCAACTGGGGCACCTGGATTCCTATCTCCATCTGGCAGTAATGAGGTGGTAACCTCATTAACCCTGTTAGATTGGTGTTGGAGAAAGCCAGCTAAAACAGAAAGTTTAAATAAGATCCAGAGTCTCATAATATAAACTGAAAATGTTCAGACTTCAATAGAGACCAGCACTGAGATGACAAAGATGTTAGAATAAGCTCACAGACTTTTAAAGTTGCTATGAGAAAACTGCTTCAATGAGCAAATATGGATACACTTGAAGCAAATGAAAAAATAAAAATCCTGAGCAAACAGGAGATACAAAGAAGAACCAGATGAAAATTGTAGAACTGAAAATTACAATAGCCAAAATAAAAAGCTCAGCAGTTAAGCTCAACAGTAGAATAGAGAAGATGGAGGAAAGAATCAGTGAGCTGGAAGATAGAACAATAAAAATTACCCAATCTTAAAAAATGAGAAAATAGACTGGGGGTGGAGGGAAGAAGAGAGGCTTAAGTGGCTGTGGGGGCTATAATAATATTCATGTCATCAGAATCCCAGAAGGACGAGAGAAACAGGCAGGACTAAAAAACATACTTGAAGAAACATTGGCTGAAAACAGAGTAATCCTTGTAGTGGTGTCCTGATACACCTGATACAAGATAATATCCTGTATCTTGACTGTAGCTATGTCAAATCTTGGTTGTGATAATGTACCATACCTTAAACTATTAACAATAATTCTAGATATCATTAAATTTGTAGTCAGAGTTTTCGCATTTTCCTGATTGGCCCAAATGTTTTGAAGTCGGTTTCTTCACATCAGAATCCAAACCAGGTCCACCTGTGGCACCTTCACCCTTCAGTGGGAGTAAGGAGCCGGACGCGTCACTTAAAACCATTCCTCTTACGTTGTCACCCTCAATCTTACAGGTAAATGGCAAATTCTCTTTCGTATTAGTGTACATGCCTCGATAAAAGTCCAGAAGGGCGGCGGGGGCCTCGGCGGTTGAAGGCCCGCGTGCCCTGGCTCCTGCGAGGGGAGGGCGCCCCCGAGACAGACGTGGAGGGAGGGCGAGGGCCAGGCGCTGGGCTTCATCACTGCGTTTCCGTTTTCTGTGAAATCAAATGGCGCCTTTCCCTTTCCCGGGAAGTCGGTGTCACCGCCCGTTTGCTGTGAAATCAAATGGCGCCCTTCCTTTTCCCGGGACTTCGGCGTCACCGTCCAGCTGGCGTCGGGGCAGCACCCCGGGATCTGGCGTGGCGCATGCGCCCCGACGCTCGGGCCCGCGGGCTCCTTTCTCCGTCGCCGCTCCAGGACGCGGCCTCGGGGGAGCCCTACCGGGACGGAGCCGCGGGGCCTGCGACTTCCCCCGGAGCTGGCCTGAGGTGGGGCCCGGGGAGGCCTACGGGCCTGGGGGTCGCGGAGCCCAGGGAGGGCTGTGGCAGGGCCAGGGGGGCGCGCCCCGGAGGAAAGGCCCGCTTTGGCCCGAGGACGACACGGGAGTGGGTAGCCGGGCCTGTTGAAGCGCCTAGGGCGCCAAGGATCCCAGTTTGTTGGGTGACTCGGCTCAGCTTTTAGAAAGGGGCCGAGCGGGATTTGAACACTCCCTGAGCCCAAAGGCCTGGCTCTCAACGGTAACCGTCTTCCTCAGCCTCAGTTTACCTTTTCATCCCTCAGGGATTCTCCTGTCCATGGCTGCCACCAAAACTGCGAGTTATGATGAACATTTCAGGCCAGAAAAGTTAAGAGAATGGCCGGAGCCCGAGTCCGTTTCTTTAATGGAGGTGAGATAACGTGGCGTTTTGAGACGTCATTTTGGCGGGGGGACCCCTCGAGTTTGGGAACTGTTTATCTTAATTTCGCTTCTGTTCTCAGGATTGTGACAGTGCCTGCTTTAAAGCAGGCGTTGAAGGGGAATGTTCGGGCTCAGATTTGGCCGAGAGTGTGGCCAAGAGTGTTTCCAGTCGCCAGCCTGGGGGCTGGCGCACCGACGGGGGCGGGCAGCCGGGCGGGTGAAGGCAGCCACCCCAGCTCCCCGGCAGAAGCCAGGTCTGGGCTTGCCAGTCAATTCTGCATACTTCAGCGTCTGGTAATGATTTTCTCAAAAAGTTTCATTATTTTGTGTCATCCTATGATTTGCCTCGCTGTGAAAAACTCTTGGAAATTTCCTTTCTTTTTCCCCTTTTGCCCTAGTGGCGGTCGGAGCAGTGAGATGCTTAATTTTTCTATGTGTGTGCACAGAAAGCTGTGGATTTCGAAAAGTGCTGCTGCAAATCATGACCTTTTCCTTATATTTCCTGGCAAAATCACAAAGAAGAGCCATCAAAGACAAAAACTGTTTAATTTCTTTAAACAAAGATTATTTGAGAATCTGACTCAAGAATGTACATAACATTTGTTAACAATCTTACTAGGATGTTCTTTAAGAAGGTGACTTCCCAAGATGCTTGTCAATATGTTCTGCTTCTCCAAATAAATAAATAGATTCTAAATTTTTATTGTAGTGTCAGGATACATGTTTAATTGTTTTACATACTTTTTCAGTTGCCATCTTCATTTTAATTAAAAAAAATATTTTAGAGACAGGTTCTTGCTCTGTAGCCCAGGCTGGGGTGCAGTGGCCCAATCATAGC